>NC_000008.11:5803416-6105701 GCF_000001405.40 Homo sapiens
TCAGTTTTTGGACAACATAAGTAGACATGCCAATTTAAGATAAATTCCCCTACACTTCCTTGTACTTACTCCTTGCCCTCTGCTTCACTGTCAGAGAACAGCTGCCTTCAGCTTATTCTTCCACGAAGCTATGCAGAGCCTTCAGACCTTTTAGAAGGCCTGCTCCTTCACCTATAGTTTCTCCCACCACTCTGACTGATCTCCTACAACAGTACTGGTAAAAACAGGGTAATAGTAATAGTAGTTATTCTAAGGCAATTGTATTAGTCTCTATGAATAAAAGTGATAGAAGATTATAAAGAGCATAGTCTAATACTTGCATGATACACCAAAGACTTTATCATAAAGAAATCTATTCCCCAAATAATCTTTAACTTCAATACAGTTCCAAGATAAATTATGACAAGATTTTTTTAGAATTTGTAAAAACTCATTTCCAAATTTATACAAAACAGTAACAGCCAACAAACAAAAGTCAAAGAAGTCAAAAGGGGAATTTACCTAAAACATCTACTGAAATTAAACAGTGTGCAACAATGAGGTGAATAATTCAATGAAGGATATATATAAATCCAGAATATATAGAGATTCTTTTTTACTAATGTGAATATGAACAAGGATGTGTAGAAACAGGAATCCACGTATAAAGCTGATAGGTTAAAACCCTCCTAAAAAGATATGGAAATACCTATTTTAAAAAGATGTTTCTATTTTGTGACATTACAGTGCTTCATAATATATCCACATGTGAATAGAAATCATGTATAAGGATCTAATTTTAGCTTTGCTTGTAAAGGAAATTGTTGATATAATCTAAAACTCCATCAAGGAAACAAATATACAAATTATGAAATAGTCTCATGGCAAAATATTATGCAACAGGTAAAATCAGTACTGTCTACCTGCGTCAATATGGATAGGTATCTAAAATATAAAATTATGTTCAAAACAAACTAATGTAAAGGCTCTTGCATAATTATACATTTATGAAATATGTGTATTTTATATAATGCTACTTTTATATAATTTAACAAACATACACAAAAATTAATATATAACCACACAAGAATAATATTAAAATATGGAAGAAAATATTACTCACAAAATACTTGATAATATATGATAATGAAAGATAATATCAAAGAGGATTAGCAAAATATTCCTTTGTATTGTTATTCAATATGTGTTCCAAATAATAAATATTAATACTGAAATTTGTTAACTACTTAATACTGCCACCCTCTCTTTTAAATGATTTACATGTATCATTTCACTTAATTTTCCTAATTACCACATGTGTATTACTTTCCTTATGACCATTTCACAAATGAAAAAACCCAATGAGTAGAGTGAAATAAGTTGCCGAAAATCATATAACAAGAAAGTAAGGGAAGTGAAATATGAATCAAGACACTCTGGTTCCGTAGATCATGTTCTAAGTTGTACATAAATCTGAAAATTATAAAAAGTATTTGAATTGAAACACTAACAAAAATGCTACAAAGAGAAACTTACATATTTAAGCTAAACAGTATTTATCAGGCTTTACATCACTTTTTAAGTACTTTAGGAAAATAAAAAGGAAAATTAAAAATTAATGAAGATTTCCAGCTTCAACTTGGAAATATAGAGAGAAGGAGAGTCATTTTTCTGTTTATAATAAGAAAAATCTAGACAATCACAAATTATTGAATGTATTAAGGTCACATGGCAAACCATTAATTCAAAACCTGGATAGAGACAGGTGCCTTCAGGTATAAACAGGGCTTCAGCAGGTACTTACTTGTACAGACACTGCTTCATGATATAAAACCCATTAGGAAGGTCAGTAATTTAACAACTTTAACAAATTGCTAAAGGGTGAATATGGGTTAGCAGGAGAATGTGAAGCCCCTGGGGACCACAGAGCTAGGGGGTTTCTGAACTTCCCACAGGCTTTCCTCTTTTGACCTTGCCAGGCTCTGAAAGGGAAGATGGGAGCAAACATGGAGAAAGCTGACCCAAAGTATTGATAGGTGGAGGAGAGACTCTTCACATTTGGAGATCTGGAGGAGAAGTGGGAACAGATGTGAAGTCTCCACCCTCGAGAACTGGGTTCATAGTGCCTGGCTAAGATAAGGCTCAATCATGGTTGCAAGTTTAATGATTTTCAGGCAAAGGGGATAAATTCTAGTGAGTTCATCCAGAGCCTGCGGTAGGTTCCCATCCTGGCTATTGGGGATATGTCACAGGACATTCTTGTAAGCATCTTACATGTGTTAATTCACTAAATTTCTAACACAGTGTCAAATAGAATCACTTGCATTTTCCGAAGATCACACTGAATTTCAGAAACAGTAAGTTTCTTGCCCAAAGTTATTTACCAATAAGTGGAAGAACTGTACATCAAATATATAGAGCATAACTTAAGACCTGAGATTTTGGTATGTTTAATACCAAGATGCTGCAATCCACAAAACCCTGAAAGCTGGGGATGAATTGGCCGGGGGGATAGTCAGATGACAAAGCCCAGATTCTCTGGGATGATTTGCATTGGCCAACTCTTCTCAGATGCCGTCCTGGTAGACCAGGTGTGCCAGCGTAAATTCGGCTTAAATAGTCACCTATTGCATTAACTGTCATCTTAGAAACCATGTATTTTATCAGGAAGAGAAACTAAGACTGGTAATGAATAATCCACATGTCTGCTTCCTGTTCATCTCCCTCCAGGGATGCACAGGGCTCATTCTGGACAGCTCCCTTCTAGGGGGAGGTGTTGTGGCTTCTAAAAAACTGACAGATGTCACTGATGCTGAAGACCAAAACAGAGCTACCACAATGTGCGGCCCCTCCGTACTCAGAATATCAGGTCATCTCAGATGGGCAGGACTTGGTATCTCAATCAAAAATCTGAATCTTGTTTGTTTTCTGAGTCATTTGTGTCTCAAATGTTTTTGATTTATTTTTTGAGATGTTTGTTCTGAATATATTTACATGAAGACTCTTACAAAGCTGTACAGAATAAATTTCCGTATGAAAAATTATTTGTACTTCAGACAAAAATAATTTCCGATAATGAAATTCAAAATATTGGCTGCATCTGTGGGATATTGACTAGGGATAGGCACAAAGGAGCCTGTTGAGCTGTAGGAAATAATGCACATCTTGCTGTGGGTGGTGTGAAAATCCCCTGAACTGGAGGTGCATTTAGGAGTTTTGCACATTGTAACTTTCCTATATGTATGCTATAATTTGATGAAGTAAAAACAAATTTTGGATAAAATTACTGTTGTTTTATTTTTCTTAAGGTTATAGAAAAGGATCTTATTACAAGGATCTATTTTTTTCAGTTATAAAAAAGGATCTTATTACAAGCAATAACCTCATTCTCTCATTCTGCTTCATGTCTGCTAAATACCCATTTATGTATTAAAAAGAACAGTAAAACTAATTTTCTAATATTTAGTGAAAAGGAATTTTTATTTTCCCTTAAATACATTGTTTAGAACAACACTAATTGCCAGCCTTTCTTTCGGAAATGCATTTTCCGTCTCTACTGAGATGTGCCAATATCATAAATTACCATTAACTAGTGAGTTGATCCAGAGCGTGGGGTAGGTTCACATCCCCGCCCCTGGCATTGCTTGAAATCCAGCTTTTAGCAATTGATCATTGAATCTTAGAAACGAGTAGAGAGAGGTAAAGAAGAGGAAAAGTGAAATGTGTTTGAGGTGTGGGAAGGAGGCGGGGGGCGGGAAAGAAGAGAATTAAGTGGAGGGATTGAGTTCAAATTTGGGTGGAGAGAGAGAGGAAAGGGGAATTACTGAATCTCTATTTTTATATTGGTAAATATTTCTCATTAAGGTAATACTCTATAATTATTGACCAGAAAATATTACAGTCTCTTCAGAGCCTTTCACTTCCTGTTTATTTGCATCATTTCTCTATCAAGGTAAATAACTAACACAACCCGGAAGAAATGCATTTGGGTCAAACCATATCAACTTGCTGTCATTCAACCTACTTTGTCCTACGAAAATGGCAATTTAATATGATTCAGCCAAATACAAAACACTTCTCTTTTTTTGTCGTCTTTTGTTGTTGTTACTTTCAAATACTTTCAGGCATTTCAGAGCCACCTTCCTCTTCATATGATGAATGCTTCCTCTACCCTGGTGTGTTTGGTATCCTGAGCCTTTACTCAAATCGTTACTGTTAGTTAGCAAATTCAAACTGACTGCTCTGACCCACACTCCAAGTCTGCATTCCTCAAATTTCCCATTTGCTTTTATTCTGCCATTTGTTTTTCTACTTACCAGCCGTAAACTGCAAAGGAGACCTATTCCCGTAACCTCACATCTTAACTATAGTGAATACACATCCAATCTCTGGAAGGGAAACTTAATACCAGCAAATGTTTTTGTTTGTTCGTTTTTCCTCCAGTTTTCTTTAGAATTCTATGATACTCAAGCGATATGCTTCTCTTTGCCATGTTGCAACTTCAGTCGACTTTCCTGCCGTAAGCCTTTGTCTGCTAATGTTACTTCAGCTCTTCAGAATTAATAAATACCATATCAATTGCTCTCTTTTAGAGTTTGGAAGCCACTTCTTGATAATATTTCTGCTAGAATAAAACTTTTCTAAACCACCGACAAGACAGCCAATCACCACCATGGTCTGTCCCTCTCTTCTAATTGTTGCTTCTCTCTTGTACATCCACTTAACTTTTTATTAAATGGGAAGTCAATTAATAGGGATTGTGCAATAATTTTTCTACATCATCTTGCTGGGTTGAATAAGCTTCCGTCAATTACAACTATGAAATCCTATAAGCTGGGTGTGGTGGCTCACGCCTGTAATCCCAGCACTTTGGGAGACTGAGGTGGGTGGATCACTTGAGGTCAGGAGTTTGAGACCAGCCTGGGCAACATGGCAAAACCCTGTTTCTACTAAAAATGCAAAAATTAGCTGGGCATGGTGGTGCATATCTGTAATCCCAGCTACTTGAGAGGCTGAGGCAGGACAATTGCTTAAGCCCGGAAGGTGAAGTTTGCAGTGAGCCAAGATTACACCACTGCACTCCAGCCTGGGTGACAGAGTGAGACTTTGTCTCAAAAACATGAATAAATAAAGTAAAAAAAGAAATCCTACGATTTTAATTGGTGAAATTTCTTTCATTCATTAGCAATCCTAAAAATCTCAAGAAAAGATTATAAAAATTCTGCTCACACCTGTATCCTATCTGAGCCTCAGTCTCCTCATCTGTTGTATGACAGTACAAATATTTTTATTCCTGCCTGAACCTCAAGGTGATTGTGAAGGTCAAATTAAATAATGCAGGTAACAGTACTTTGAAAACCATGAGTTAGTACAAATGTAATGTATTATTATAGTCCAAAGGTGGCTTTTGTGTTCAAAATACATAATTTATTTATAAGCTATAACCTTATGTCCAGTTCTCCTTCTTAGCTTAAAAACTAGCAGATTAGACCTTACCAAAGTTACAGTAATTACATTCACAAGTGGAAAGACTTTTGCCTGATATTCAATTTCTGCTACTGGGCCCATTTACCCATCACTCATGCTAAACCTCCTCTGAATTTTAGAATCATTTTTAAAAGCCATAAAAAGCTCTTGTACAAATCACGTAAAACTGTTGTTCTGACAACATAAATGTGCCATGCATCAAAAAACACATTAAAATTATCCAACCGGCTATGAAAATGCATCCAACAGAGGAAGCTTTATTTGTTTGATAAGGACCCCTACAGAAGGCAAAAGTGTGGTGTCAACTCACCCTCGCAGAGGTGAGCACCTCCCAGCACACCAATGCTAATGAGGCTGGAAACTTTTCATAATGACAAGAACCAAGAAGCCAAGGTCCAGGCTACAACTAGGGCACTGCAGAGAGGGGGAGAGCAGAGATAATGTTTGTAAACTCATCAACTTGCATCTGTGCCATTGGATGTAGATTTTAATTTTAAGAAAACAGTCACCTTTTGGGCTATACTTTGATTATTTCATGATGGTTTTCTTTATTCTTGATTTCCAAATAAAAGCACTTCAATTTTGGCCTAGTCTAATGTTTTACAGGTTTTTTTCCCCCAACTGAAGCCATCGTGACAAAATGGTCATTATACAAACCTCTTAATTTGTTATGCATATCTAATCCTACCCACAATAGGCTTTTTCACATATATGCATGATACTTTTCCATATGTAAGTCTACTCCGATAGCTAAATGAGAAAGTATTTAATTTCACCACAAAACCCAGATCAAGAAAATGTGTCTCCAACATCACTCTGCTTTTCCTACTTTTAGAGCTTGTTGCAAAAACTTGTCTCAATTGCAAATTAGAAAACAACTTTTTAAAAAATAGGCATAATGTATTCCTAAATAATTTGAAGAACTTTAAATACTTTATGTTGTAGTGTATTTGCATTGATGAGCAATGTGTACAAACATATCAGCAACAGAAAATATTGGAAGTATTTCTGTGTATAGTATCAATTTGCTGATTAAAATTCTATTTGGTCTCGTTGAACCCGGTACCTCCCCTAGCATAACTTTTGCTATACTCTAATCAAATTGTCCCGGCATAGTAACCTCTATAGCACCTAACACAAAGTATGAGAAAATCATTAACACATGAAGACCCTGGAGTGTTAGATATGTATTACATATTTAATGATTTATTAAACGTATGAAGAAGTCACACCCAATATGAGTCTCTCCTGTTAGTTTCCCAAGTCTCTTTTCTCTTGATGGTTATTAGAAAGATTTTGCTAGTGTGTTTTCAAAATTCCTTCTCATAACCTGGTGTAGCTGACATGGTCATTGCAGTGTTATAACTGAACGTTCTACAAAATGTTTCAGGAAAATCATGACTGCAAGTGTTCTGTTGCTATTTCCTTTCCTCCAGTGTAACTGAAGTGCCTGGCATACGTTATATGAAACATCAATTCTAATACACTGGCATTTTACCTTGGGAAAGCACTTGAGTGTATGGGTTCTGACTTGAGTGTATGGTTTTCTAAACCACCGACAAGACAGCCATTCACCACCATGGTCTGTCCCTCTCTTCTAATTGTTGCTTCTGTCTTATACATCCACTTAACTTTTTATTAAATGGGAACTCAATTAATTATGTTGGAGCCCAAGTAGTCAGAAAGTGACTGAGAAGGTGGGGAGAAAGAAGGTTTCAAAAGCCTCAAGAGCTTCCACTGTCATATACATGACTTTGAGATGATGGTGTACATATGAGGGAGTTTTGAAAAAGTCCTGCCATGATGGTTTGGAGACCCACCTCCACCATCACCTGCAATGTATCAGAATTTAATCCCAGCCCATGACCACTCCAAGAACATACGAGTAATCTCTTACCCTTTCAGTGGAAAGAAAGAAGAGTGTCTTCTCATCTGACCATGTTACAAGGAAAGAGACACAGCAGGCACACTCTGGGATGAAGGAAGCAACTACTCAGAAGAGCCAAGGGCTCTGCATCGGAACTCATGGGTCAGTCACTGCCGATTGAAACAGAGCACAGCATCTGCTCAGGCAGCAGCGGCCTCCTGGCTTGCAAATGCACATCCCATAAACGGCAAAGGCGACACCAATATGCCTTTATCAAGGAAGAACAAAAGAAAGGAGGGCATATTCAAGGTACTTGTGAGATTTAAGAAACTTTCTTTTGGAGAATTTTTTTGCAAGACACTCTAAGCTATTGCCAATAATGCACCCATATTCCTTTTCTCTTGGATGTTGGCTCTGGGCTCCACATTATAGGAAATCTATTGAAAGTATGCTCTATACTTTTGACTAGTGTTTTACTCTGAATGTAGGGTGACTGCCATACCTGGTTTTTCCAGTACTGTCCTGGTTTTAGCATAAAAAACAAACAAATAAACATTTTCTGGGAAACCATTCCCTGGGATAAAGATAAATATTACACATTCTCATTTATATGTGGAAGCTAAAGAAAAATGAGGCAATGAGGTCATAGGAGTAGACGATAGAACTATGGTGTTTAGAGGTTGGGAAGGCTAGGGGGCTGGGGAGAAGAGGGAGATGTTGGTGAACAGATACAAAGTTATAGCTAGATAGGATAAATAAGCTCCAGTCTTCTGCAGCACTATATGATAAATATGTTTAATCATAAATGTGTATTTTCAAAAAGAAAAACAGAGGTTGAATGTTTACAACACAAATGATAAATATTCAATGTGAAGGATACGCCAGTTACCCTTATTTGATCATTATGCGTTGTATACATGGATCAAAATATCACTCTGCATCCCAGAAATTTGTACACTTATGTATCAACTAAAAAGGAAAAAAATACATAGTTTGAAATGATCTTTTTGGTATCCAAGCAGACAGTGAACCTGTAGATAATTGGTGTCTTGTTCACCTAGAAACTAAACTTCGCTCTTCTATGTGCATATTCAGCAGACAGTGCAAGGGTAAATTTGGCAAATTCCATTAAGTCTATAAACTGCTTACCCATACAAATAAAACAGTGCTACCTGTTCCATAGCCTGCACGTATTTTTGTGTAAAATGATTTGCGTACCTGTGGTGGTGTTTTATAAGGAAACATTTTGGTCACATTTCAGTGTCCCCAAAATACATAGTATGACTTAACTAGATTTTTTAGCTTAAAGAAATGAAAGAAGATAACTCTCCTATACATGTGCCTAGAAGCTGGTTATCAATGTTGCTGGCCATAGAAAGATGTTAAAGATACCTGCCATAGAATCATCTATTCAAAGTGCAGGGAAAAATAATATTTTTCTCCAATTTAATAATACATTGAAGATGATAGAAAAAGAAATGAAAGAAAATGAGAAATGTATATGCTGTTTTTCCAAAACTGTTTAATGATCTTGGAAAATACCGTAAGTTGTCTAGGAAAGGATGAAGTCACTCCCCCAGGGTGGTTCAATGCCATCTGTAGGTTGCAACAAAAACTCATCCAATGAAAAAGTTATTTTTGGCAGAAATAAGACTGCATCAGAACTCAAAAATACTTACAAGTAAAGGACAGCCAAATTAAACAGGAAATTCTAGTTTTTTAAACAAAAATTTTTGGAAACCAACTTCATTTTCATTAATACAGATTAAATCTGTGCTTTAAAACCATTTCCCAGAGAAAGAGGGGTTTTATTTTGATGACATCCAATATGCTTTGAAGTGTTTACAAATAATGGATGTTTTAAATTTGGACAGTCTTTATGATGGATTTACAGATGTAGATTCTGAATGACAAACAGCCGTTCCACCAAAACCAGCCTGTAGATACAAAGGGAATGAACATTTTTGTAGAGCTGGAAAATAATTCCTCCAAGTCAAAAATCTGCTGTTCCTACAAATAAATGCCTACATGTTCCAGAAGTTAAAATTGTTTTGTTGGGAAGATACTTAGCTTGATTTTGCTATATTGGACCAACACCAAGAATCACTATAATGTGGACTTGGTAAGAGCAAAGCTGCAAGTCAAGCTTTCATTTACCTTTGTGTGTATTTACTTTGACTTTTACATAAAGGAAAAGGAGGATACCCTAAGTTATGTCAAAAGGAAACAAAAACAGTAAACTTTCTACCAGATGATGGAACAGAAATCAATGTCATTGTTACGTTGTTAATAAGTGCATAAATATTCAGTTACTTTTATTTATACTCTCCACTTAAAAATACATACATTTTTGGTGTGATTCATCACATAAACAGAACTAAAAAAAAATAGTTTTCTCAATAGATGCAGAAAGGCTTTCAATAAGATTCAAAATCCCTTCATGTTAAAAACCATCAATAGGCATTGAAGAAACATACTTCAGAATAATAAAAGCCATCTATGACAAGCCCACAGCCAACATCATAGTGAATGGGCAAAAGCTGGAAGCATTTCCCCTTGGAAACCGGCACAAGACAAAGATACTCACCATTCTTATTCAACACAGTATTGGAAGTCCTGGCCAATGCAATTAGACAAGAGAAATAACAGGCATCCAAACAGGAAGAGAGAAAGTCAAACTACCCCTTTTTGCAGAAGACATAATTCTATATCTAGAAAACCTCATAGTCTTGGCCCAAAAACTCCTTCAGCTGATAAACAACTTCAGGAAAGTTTCAGAATGAAAAATCAATGTACAAAAAATCAGTAGCATTCCTATATACCAACAACATCCAAGCCAAGAGCCAAAGAAGGGTCACAATCTCATTCAAATTAGCACAAAAAGAAATACAACGAATGCAGCTAACCAGGGAAGTGAAAGATCTCTGCAAGCAGAGCTAGAAAACACGGCTGAAGGAAATCAGAGATGACACAAACAAAAGGAAAAGCATTTGATGCTCATGGATAGGAAGAGTCAATATCGTTAAAATGACCATACTGCCCACAGCACTTCCCAGATTCAATGTTACTCCTACCAAACTACCAATGGCATTTTTCACAGAAATAGAAAAAAACTATTTAAAATTCACCTTGAACCAAAAATAAGCCCAAAGAGTCAAAGCAATCCTAACCAAAAAGAACAAAGCTGGAGGCATCACCTGACCAGACTCCAAACTATACTACAGGGCTACTAGGACAAAAACAAACACATAGATCAATGGAACCAAATAGAGAGCTCATAAATAAGGCCAAATACCTACAACTATCTGATCTTTGACAACGCTGACAAAAACATTCATGGGGAAAGAACTCTCTATTCAATAAATGGTGCTGGGATAAACGCGCTAGCCATGTGCAGAAGATTGAAACTGGACCCCTTCCTTTCATCGCATACGAAAATCAATGCAAGATGGATTTAAAGACTTAAATGTAAAACCCCACCATACAAACCCTGGGAGGCAATCCAGGTAATACCATTCTGGACATAGAAATATTTCATGATGAAAATGTGAAAAGCAATTGCAACAAAAGCAGAAACTGACAAATGTTATCTAACTGAACTAAAGAGTTTCTGCACGGCAAAAAAAAAAAAAAAAAAAAAAAAAAAAAACTCAAGAGTAAACAGACAACCTACAGAATGGGAGAATGTTTTGGCAAACTATACATCTAAGAAAAGTCTAATATCTAGAATATCTAAGGAACTTAAATTTACAAACGCAAAACAACCCCGTTAAAAACTGGGTGAAGGACATGAACAGATACTTTGGGTTTTGTTTTTTTTTTTCCCGAGATGGAGTCTTGCTCTTGTCGCCCAGGCTGGAGTGCAATAACGCAATCTCGGCTCACTGCAACTTCTGTCTCCTGGGTCCAAGCAATTCTCCTGCCTCAGCCTCCAGAGTAGCTGGGATTACAGGCACCCATCAGCATGCCCAGCTAATTTTCGTAATTTTAGTAGAGACCGGCTTTTGCTCTGTTGACCAGGCTGGTCTCGAGCCCTTGACATCAGGTGATCTCCTTACTTCAGCCTCCTAAAGTGCCGGGATTACAGGCGTGAGCCCCTGTGGAACAGACACTTTTGAAAAGAAGACGTACATGCAGCCAATAACCATATGAAAAAACTCTACACCACTAATTATCACTAAGGTGATTTCTAATGCAAATTAAAACCACAGGGAGATACCGTATTACACCAGTCAGAAGGACTGTTAAAAAGTCAAAAAATAGGAGATACTGGCAAGGTTGCATAAAAAGGAATCCTTAAACACTACTGGTGGGAGTGTAAATTAGTTCAACCACTGTGGAAGGCAGTGTGGCAATTCCTCAAAGAAATTAAAGCAGAACTATCATTTGACCCAACAATCTCATTACTGGGTATATAGCCAAAGTAACAGAAATCATACCACCATAGAGACACATGCATACATATGTTCACTGCAGCACTATTCACAATAGCAGAGATATGGAATCAACCTAAATGCCCATCAATGGTAGACTGGATAAAGAAAATGTACATATATACCATGGAATACTACACAGCCATAATAAAGAATGAGATCACATCCTTTGCAACAACATGGTTGGAGCTGGAGACCATTATCTTAAGCAAAATAACACAGGAACAGAAAGCCAAATACTGCATGATCTCACTCATAAGTGGGAGCTAAGGACATATCAACCGGAAGAGGAGAACAACAGAAACTAGGGACTGCCTGAGGGTGGAGGTTGAGAGGAGGGAGAGGACCAGAAAAAATACCTATCGGGTACCGTGCTTATTACCTGGGTGAGGAAATTATCTGTACACCAAACCCCGTGACACCCACTTTACCCATCTTAACAAGCCTGCACATGTATGCCTGAACCTAAGATGAAAGTTTAAAAAAGTGTATTTATTAATTTTAAGAACGTACAATAGTATGGCTTACAGATTTTAAATATTAAGGAGTTTGAAGTTAAAACATTGCTTTTTTGGAGGACAGAAATATAAAACACTGCTATATTTCCTCATACATAATTAAGTTATCCTATTAGTAATTATTACTAATTACCACCACCATACCACTTTGTTTAAATATTTATGTAAAAAAGTCAATATAGGATGATTTCAATTTTTTATGTTCACATATAGCAAATGTGTATAATTATATAATTATATATTTTTCATATATTGTATTATTTATGCATTTATTTGCTTATTTCTTGTTATATATCAGATTTTCTGTGTGCCGAGTTGGTGTAATTTTCCTCTGAAGATTTCTCTTCTGGGTGTGTGGTGTAACTCCTTAAAAAGGTCAAATTGTGTGTCTGGCATGGTTAAATCATCTCTTTAGAATCGGAGTACTCACCAAAACCACTCAAGTAGCAAGTTGTGTTTGTAGGTTCTCAAAAGATATTCTTATTTTTCTGTGCCCAGATTCAAGGTCAAGACAGGCACACTGCCATCATGCCTCTTTTTTCTTCATTCTTCCTCAGAGAAGTTTTCAACCCTCACTGCCTGGAAATTTCAACTTATCACTGCCAGAAGTCTGCACCAAGGGAATTAAATCTAAACCTCTGATGAGTCCTGTTTGTTTGAGTTTTTGAAATGTTCCTCAGTGTATTCTAATATGCTTATCAAGTTGCAAACTATTGGACATTACAAAGTCAAGATGTTCAATAAGTTAAGAGTTTAAAACAGCAATTTATTTAGAATTGCTTGCTGGTGATGAATTTTGGGTAGTGCAGACTTTGTATAATTCTGATTTTGTTTTATAATTTTTATAGTAGTCTTGGTAGTATGTAAGTACATAAAAGGGGGTCGTATGTTTCACTATTGTGCTTTTCCCAATGAAAGACAGAAAACAGCTTTCTAAAGCTTAATTTTACTAAATATATTTTTTAAAAACCTGAGCCAGAAATAAGCTAAATTCCATTTCAAGACTTGTCTTATCAAGTTTTTTTTACACTTGGATTTAGACAGTTTAAATTTGTATCTTCTCTTTATGTTCATGATAGAAGTGTTTACTTTGGCAGACCGCTCATTAATTTGCAAAGTATGTTATCTATACAATAGCATTTTATCCTCATACTAAACACCTTCTCAGAAGGAAAATATTTTGATTTTACAGGAAACTAAGATTCAGTGCAGTGTTGTGATATGAGTGACATGAGTAACGTGGTTTGTATTTAAAATTCAAATGTACACATGTGGCTTTGTTCATCATTTAGAACTAGTTTCACCTTACTCTATATAAATTTGTGGTGCCATTTAAAATGATCCTTATCAGACTAACTCAGCTTCTTTTGAGAAATGCTCATTCTGTCAACGTGCTGTCTTTCATTGTCTGCCTGAACAAGTTCATGTGTAAATGTAGATGACGGCATGAGACAGGGTAAAAGTAAACTCATGGGCACTCCCCAGATGGGTGAGTGGGGGTTTCTGAGTCTAACGGCTCTCAGTGTGCTCACCTCTCATATCGAGCATGCTGAGAGAATTTAATTTATTTGCACCTTCTTGGGTTACACTTACTGTACCTGCAGTTTCTCTTGGTGTCTTCAGGCTCCCTCCCCTCTGCTCCTCTCCTTGCCAGGGCCAGAAGGGCATCCATGCTCCATCTTTGCTCAGGGACCCATCACTTCCCTTTATCCTTTCTGGGGTATTATTTGAAAACTACTCTTCAATCTTCGATATTTTCACATGATATGTAAAGAAAAACATTTAGGATCCAGAAAATCATTTGAGGTCAACCAACTGTGGCTTTAGATTTCTCTTTAGAGAGACTGGCAGCTAAGTTTAGGATTTTTTTTTTTTTTTTTTTGGTAATAGACATGTCTGAGTCAAAGCACACCACTGATCCTTTGCTGGGAACCCATGTTGGCTCCTGATTTAAAATGAAAACTTTAAAGGTTTAGTTTTAAAATCTTTAAAATATCATAGCATTCTACTTTTTCAAAAGATAATTAGTAAATGGCAAAACCTTAAAAATATCTACCCCGCATCTAAAACTTCTGACATTTTCCCTTATATCACACATTTTGTTTCCTTTTATATATTATGTCAGTGTATAAAAAGCATCACAGATCATCACAAATTCTATCTTTCTAAACCATGTACACACACAAATGGAAATGGGGTGTTTAACACATACCTCTCAGAAGGATAAGAAATTTCCCTTTATTTATTTTCTTTAACTGTAAAAAGCTAGACAAGAATTGTGATCATTACATGTTAGGTGAATCTGATGTAGACAAAAACTCTGTTTCTTATAATCTGTTTTAAAATATTCCTAAATTATGTCTGTAATTAACTGTTACACCTGTAGAATCCATCTGGCAGCATCCCTGGATGATGGGTTAGAGGGTACTCAACTGTCACCTGCTTCTCATACAGAATCATGAGCTGAGTGTTTCCACTGCATATGCAATGTCATGAATACTTGTACGTCAACTTCAAATGCCAGGTGTTTCTCTGATATAAAATTTTTGTTAGCAGCCAGTTTAGCCATCATCCAAATTGATTCCAGGGAAAGAAAAATGCACTTAACTCCGCTCTGCTAAGAAAATTTTACTTTGATTTTATATAGTTTTTTTTTAGGTATGAATAAAAACAAAAAATATATACCTTTTGGGAAGGACATATTTAAATAATAGCATCTTCCTGACATGGTTCCAAATTGCCATTAGATAACATCAAGGCTAACAGATTGGACACAGAGAGAAAAAGAAGTGTATGGTTAGTTTTTGAGGAAGGAATTGTGCTCTTTAGGAGATGACACCTTTCCCTGATGAATGAAAGCTAATTATGCATTTGGTAGTCAAACATTGACTGATTGTGTTGGTCACTTCAATAATATGCCTCAAAAATAACGGCTATTTTTGGTATTCCTACAATGAAATCCATGATCTTTTTTGTTTGTTTGTTTTTGAGACATGGTTTCACTCTTGTTGCCCAGGCTAGAGTCCAATGTCATGCCCTCGGCTCACTGCAACCTCCATTTCCCAAGTACAAGCGATTCTCTTGCCTCCCAAGTAGCTAGGATTACAGGCATGCACCACCATGCCCAGCTAATTTTGTATTTTTAGTAGAGATGGGGTTTCGCCATGTTGGCCAGGCTGGTTTCAAACTCCCGACCTCAGTTGATCCACACGCCTCGGCCTCTCAAAGTGCTGGGATTACAAGTGTGAGTCACCGTGCCCGGCTCCATGCTAATGTTTTGTATGCACTGCTTTAGACTGATGGGGATGGTTGGAAACTTGAAAGAATGTATTAATTTACATATGTTATTTATAACCTGTGGGGGTCTGTCCTGCAGACCCCAATTGCACGACGGATGAGATACGTACTCAGACACCGATACTCAGTGAAAAGAGTGGCTCGGGGGCTGCTGGTACTAGGGCCCGAAGAGAGTTTGCATCTCTCCAAGCTGGCAATGCTCACATTTATTTTGTACAGATTTAATTGACAAAGGCTTTGAGTCAACATACCTGTGGGTAATTAACCTGGTCGCCCGCCCCCGGATAGAGCCATCCTGCCCACGAATGATCAAAGGTTGATTTTAGGACCACATCAGTATACAAGCTATTTAGATTAACTACATTTCTTTTTATCTGCACCCTAAGCTCTTTGGCTCTTGAGAAGAGACTGGTTGCCTTCAGCCAAACTATCTGACGCTATGCAAACCTCCCTCCCTGGCCTTCCGAGAAGGTTTGCTCCTTTCTACTCCTGTAATTTCTTCTGCCACTCTGCCTGATCTTCCACAATAATCCCTTTTGCATTTATTTCTGAAATGTTTAAGACAGTAGATGACAGGTAAAGAACAAAGGTTTATGTGTGAAAAACATGTAAATAAGATTTTTATTTAAATTTTATTTACTTTTTTCAATTAATTATACATTCACATGGTTCAAGACTTCTACGACTAAAAGTCTTCCTTCCACTATTAATTCCCATCCACAAAATTCCTTTCCTGAAGGCCACTAACATTAATTAGAGAGACATCTTACGCATGGACTACCAAGTTCACATATATACATTCATATTATACGGTACGTAATTACACATATACTTCTATAATAAAGCATATACATAATTTTCCCCTGTTTACAAAAATTATAACACTTATCTGGATTCTTGCTTTTTTCAATGAGTAATTTTGGAGATGGTTTCGTTGGAATGTGAAAACCTTCCTCATTCTTCTCTATAGGAACATAGTATCTCCTTGGTTGGGTGTCTTCTCTTTATGCAGATTTTGATTTTTCAATCATCTGCTTTTGAAAATAATGCTGCAAAAAAAAAAACCACGCACCCATGTGTTTTCTCCACACATTTTCAGTGATTGTTGCCTAGTTGGACACTGTTTCGCACTGTCATCTATAAAATTAGCCTAATAATACCCACTTTGCAAGTTTTTTGTGAAGCTAAAACATAAAATGTCTAGAAAGTTTATGGTTATGAAATAATAAATAGTGCTTGTTATAATATATACTACGGAGAATATTTTAACAAATTTATTTTTATTTCCTGACATCTGAACACACCTAAGTCCTTATGAGAATAATTAAAGCAGAAGTTGAGATTTTTAAGAACTTGAGTCTACTCTGGACTCCTGTATTGCTGAGCACTGCCCTGCAGAGTGGAAGCTTTATGTTTAAGGTGTGATCTTGCATCCAGGAAGCTCACTTTAAAATCGCTTATATTGCGTTATTAACTTCCAAGTTAACTTGATTCCTGACATTTTTTTTCCTGTTTTTGAGTCAATTAAAGATGTCCCTACTGCACATAAGATTCTCCGTATTTTGGAAATCAGTGTTTCTGAAGTTAGTCTTTGCTTTTCTGGAAATGAAGATAGCTAAATAGGAAATAGCAATGGGAGCTTTTAAAATTAGAAATACCTAGAGAAGTTTGTAGTCATCCGCACAAGATCCTAGATATTAAATGATCTATTAAACTTCCGTTTTTATTTTCAATTTGAGTTAAGATGGTATAAAGTTAGTATTCACATCAAGAGATAACTTGCAGAGACAAATTAATTGGGAAAGAGTGCTAATACTAACCAATATTTTTCAGACCTTCCTTAATGTTAATAACCCGCTAGTGTAAGAATAAATACAAATTTAAAAAATTAATTTCCCCAGTGCAAACAGCGCAATACTCCTCTAATGCCTCCTAGAATATTTTCTTCAGAAAGCTATAATTGCAAGTTCTTTCTCTGCCCATTTGAATTGCAAATTTGTAGAAGAGCCTCTTGCCTGTTTTATACCCCAGGAATGCCTTTGTCAAGGACCTGATTGCTTTTTATTTAAGAATAATTATCAAGAAAGACACAGTCCCTGTTCCCTAGTTTCTGTAGGAGACTAACTTCTATAGGCACCTGGATCCAAGTTACAAAGCTACCTTCTGTTTTAAAAATAAAAGAAGTTTATTTTTTCTTTGGATAAAGCCAATTTTAGCTTCCACAGAAAGGTAACTTTTCCAGTTACCTGGAGAATCTAGGATGAACTTTGTGTGACAAAGTGTGCTATTAAATCCATCATTTATCATGAGAATATGTACTTAATATAATGAGTTTTGCTTAGCTGCATAAAAGCTGGATATTTCTTCCTGTCTTTACACTCTATTTTTGAACTACCTATGATGCACATCAAATTCTGGTTTAATATTTATTTAATAAGACTTTTTTTTTCTTTTTGCACTGAGTATTTTTGAGGTGGAAGATTTGTTTTTAATTATATTCCTTCCTGTTTTAGTAATTAGAAATATTAAGGATTAGTAAAAGGATTTTACCATTACTATTACATTTAAAACTTTGTTTTTTTTTCCAAATCAAAAGTCAATTCTTCAAGTTCATGTTTTTTCTAGTTTATTAATGCAAGAAAATTAATCCTGAAAATCATTGGGAGACAGTATATAATCGTTCCTTTTATTGTGAGTTAAAACTGAAAGCCATAAAATGGTTTCATGGTGTTTGATATTCCCTTAATCAATGAAGAGATTGAAGGGATTGGAGCTTAAGAAGTTCTATTTTGTGTGTGAAAGTTACATAATTTTCCTCATGAAAACTTAAAAGCCCTAGATATGTAAGATAAATTACATTCACATTTTAAGACCTTTATTGGTAAATATTCCCCGATAGCCTCCAAATATTTACACCCATTACAAGCTTGATACTTATTTATGAGTTCTCTTTTTCTAAAATTTCACCAAAGCTATATATTAATTTTTAAAAACATATCATTATTTTATTTATATATTTTATTACCTGTTTAATTAACTCTTGTTTTTTTTGGATTGGGATATTTGTACTTGTGATACAATATTCTACTCTATATTAATGATTTTGATTTGTTAATATTTTATATGAAGATTTTGCACCTATGTTCTAGGACAGATTGGACTTCATTTTTTTTTTCATCCTTACGAATTTCTGATACCTAGGTTATGCCGTCCTCGATAGTAAGTCCTCTTTTATGATATTTGGAAGGAAGATCATAAACTTTGTGTTATTTCTTTCTTATGTGCATGGGAGAATTCACCCTTGACCTAGACTCTACCGGTAACAGTTTACTGTAGTCTTTCTATGATGTGCCTGTCTATAGAGCTGTTTTTACCCTCTGACTGCCCATTTTTAGAAATTCTTGTTCCTCAGTGCCACAAAGAAATAGAACTTGAACATTAATTTTCTCAGCAAGGCAATTTTTACTTCTATAGAAGGGTGTGAATGATGAATGGAGGAATGGCGAGAGCACACCCGGGCACGGGAGGGGAAGGAGTTCTTATTCCTGATGCAGGTAGCCCCTACTGCTGTGTCATTCCCCTATTGGGTACGGTTGGACTGCACAGTCTAAGCCAATTCTGATTGGCTATTTTAAAGAGAGCAAGGGCATAAGCCAGAGTGGTGGGGTGAGTAGTTTGGCTGGAAGGAGAGTTAGGAACAGGTAATTAAAGGTGACTTAGGTCAGAGCAGGTGACTGGAATGATTCAGGACAGAGCAGGTGACCAGGGAACAGATGTGAACTACTGATTAGTTCTGGCAGGAAAGTTGTTCACTGAAACTAGAAGCAAGGGGGTGAAGAGAACCAGGAAGTTAAACTTTAAAATGGAGAATCAAAGAATAAGAGAGCTGAGCATACTGACATACTGATTCTTTGAAGAGAAACTTGGGGTTCACTATATTTAACAATCCTCCAAGTTGAAATTTTACAGTTCTTTCTCTTCAAACTTCCTTACCACCATGTCTTGGCTTAGTTGTTCTGCTTGCTTCCCTAAAAGAAAAAGCTTCTATGAATAAGGTGGAGGAGAATTAAGGGAGGTTTTAGTAAATGCTGCCTCTATGAGTCTGTGCACCAGCACATGGATGCATGGTATGACACAACACCTGACAAGAATGAGTACACCTACTGCAGCTGCGAGAGAAGTAAGACTTGAGGCTATGATTCCTTTCCATTTACCGAACCATTTTTCTAGCCACCTTGTAAAGGGATCATTTACCCCTGAGCTTTTGGCTAACTCATTGGACAGAGCAGTGAGACCTTGCAATGCCTTTGTTATACTTCTATCAGGGGCGGTATTGTTTGGGATGAAGGTACAACATTGAGTTTGAATCATGACACAAACTCCTCCTCTTTCTGCTAATATCATGTCTAAGGCTATTCTATCTTTCCAAACCATCTGGCTAGTAGCCCCTAATTGCTCAGCTATTCTTTAACAGCATCTTTAGTGTAGGTAATAAACTGCTGTTGGTTGTAATAGATGCAATTTATCCAATCTACATTTTTATTAACTGTCACCCACCAAAATATTGACCCAAATCCTGCAGCTATTTGATCTTGGGATTTAAATTTATCTGGTACTCTTTGTGGGACTACAATTGCATCTAAATATACGTCAGCATTGAAAGAGCTATAAGGGGCTCCTCTTGCTTTATGGTGTTGTATTTTTCCTTCCTCTGTTTGATGAAATGCAAGGGTGGAAGGGAGAGCCGATTGGACTAGAGCAAAAAGCCACTCCAGTTACTTGGCACAGTGTCCAGTAAAGGTTCACCACAATACCACCGCACATCTGCTCAGGATGAACAAGGGCTGATGATTGGTAAGCTCTTGAAAGGCCTTAAGTTCACTGCATCCCTTCAGATCTCCAAGGAACGCTACATTACCTCTTTGTCGTGACAGACATGAAGTGAACTTAGTGTCAGGAGACGGAGGCTGGATGGCCCTCAGGGGCTGACCCACACGGTTTTGAATTTCAGGATATAGCAGAGAGAGCTTGGCATGACTTGTTATCCCAGGCTGCGGAATCCTGGAAAAGAGTTACCATACAGCCCATGCATGGTCGACTGGAGGACCATCCTAGTGGAAAGGGGACTATCTGGGTCTCTGGCCTACCATGCTCACAAGCATAACAATTGCTTTCGTTTAATGTGCAGATGGAATATTTAATCCATTCCAACCAGGCATTTGCATCTTGATATCCTGTCTCTGTTGCTGAACTTTGTTTTAAATCATTTACTTCTACAATGTCTACTGTGGTCCTATCATTGGGTATGGAAGGGATGACAGTTTGATCGGAAGAAGGTCCAAACGGACAAGAGGGGGAAGGGGATAAAGAGGGGGAGGGATTAACAAAAAGCATTTCAAAAGACCCTATGAGGTCTTTTGGCCAAGTTAGCTCCCCTGCCATAGAAGCAACCTAAAGTGGAGTCAGGATCAGTAGAGGTAGAGGTAAGAATAGAGAGCTGCACTGGGTTGCGTTGGTACTGTTGATAATTCGAGGGAACACTCTCTTTGGTGAAACAGAGGTATGGTTTTAGAGAGGTGCAGTCCTATGAGGAAGCCCACCCCTGTTCCTCAGTGATCCACAGGACATTGTCCCAGGAGGGACAGTGCCGTCCTGGAAACTTGTTCAGTTTCCAAAATGTGAGAAACGTGGGGGACTTGGTTTCCGTGAAGCAAGGGTCACAGATGTCAGAATTCCTATGCACTCATAGAAGTGACTTTGGAAGGACAGAGAGATTTTTCTGAGGAGGCCAGTTGCCTTTCGTTTTGGAGATCCTTGCAAGGTATGGAGAGATAGGCATCAAATGTGATTGTCTAAGGAAAAGGTGACCTGATTACATGAATAATGAGGTGGTCACCAGTAGAGCAAGGAAAGAAGAAAGAGTAATAAAATAAATGAAGGAGGGTTAAACTTTGTTTAGCTTTAGTTTGATAGGGTTTTCCCCTGGGACTATGTCCCATGACTCTGGAGGGGCTGACACTTTCTTGACTTCATTGTGCTGGGTCCATCCTGTCTCTGCTGTCCGGACTGCAGTTTCAGTAGTTAGGAGTACTAAGTAAGGTCCTTCCCAGGCTGGTTCGAGCTTTTCCTCTTTCCAGCTTTTGATGAGGACATGATCCCCAGGTTGATGTTGATGCACTGTCAACTCCTGTGCTAAGAGGCCTCTACTTTTAAGAGAAGAGAAAGTAGAAGATACACCAAATATATAATTTTTAAGAAATTGATCTTTTGTTTCAAAGGTAGGAATGTTAGCAGTAGACTGTAAATAAGGCAACCCATAGAGCATCTCATAAGGAGAAAGACCAATGTCTTTCCATGGGGCAGTTCGGATTCTCAACAGGGCAGTGGGAAGGCATTTGGCCCATGGTAACCGAGTCTCTAGAAATAATTTGGTTAAGTGGTTCTTTACAGTCTGATTCATTCTTTCTACTCTCCCTGATGAAGGTGGGTGCCAGGGAGCATGGTATTCCCATCTAATGTCTAATGTTTGGGATAGCTTTTTAATGATGTGTGCAGTGAAATGAGTTCCATTGTCTGAGTCAGTGTTTTCTATTAGTACGAACCTGGGTACTATATTTTCAGTTAGGGCCTTGACTACATTATTGGCTGTTGCATTTGAAAAGGGGTTAGCTTCAACCCAGTGAGTGAGGTGATCTGTTATCACTAGTAAGTATTTTAGATGACCTATTGGAGGCGTTTCTGTGTAGTCAACTTCGATACTTTGGAATGGCCTTAAGCTTGGATTCCTTTCCCCAAGGGGTAATCTTTTCATAGTTTATTAGTTTTTGTACATACTAAGCAACTATCTGTAACTTGTTTGGCCAGGGTATAAATTCCTATGCACCCATAAACTCTGAGAACTGCATCACACATGGCCTGGGGCCCCCAGTGAGTCCGTTGATGTAGCTGGAATAAGATTTCCCTCATAAGGGGTTTAGACAACATTTCTCTCTGGTCTGGCAATATCCATTTTCCTTCTGAATTCTCTTTAGCATGTATTTTTATTAGTTTTTATTTTTCAGTGGAAGATAAAATGGGGATTATGGTAGGAGGAGGAAGGTAGGAAGTTAAGTGGAAAATAGGTATTTTAGAGGATACAGCAGCCTGCTTGCCTATCTGATCTGCTAGGTAATTTCCTGGACTTTCAAAAGAAAGGCTTTTCTGGTGTCCGGGAACATGGACAGTAGCTATTTCTTCTGGCAACTAAAGATTATTCAGTACTTGGGTGATTAGCTCCTTGTGAACAAGGTCTTGACCTTTACTATTAATGAGACCTCATTCAGTCCAAATTTTTCCAAATGTATGAGCCACTCCAAAGGTGTACTTAGAATTGCTATAGATGGTTCCTTCCTGGTTCTGCAAGTACTTTAAGGCTTGGCTGAGTGCAAACAGCTCAAAAGTTTGGGCAGACCAATTATTAGGCAATTTTCCTGACTCTTTTTTTAAGAGTTTCTCCATCAGTTACTGAATTCCCATTGTGTCTTTTCCCCTCAATCACCCAGGAAGAACTATCTATAAATAAGTGTCCTCCCGTCCTAAAGGGAGTTTCTCCTACATCTGGTCGGGCCTTTATATAATAATTAAATCTAAACATGTGCGTTCCCTCTTTAGATTGGGATCCCCCTTTATGAAACCTGCTTGGTTAAGCTCATTATCAGTGGTTAATGTTAAATCATCTTTTTCTAAAAACATAGCGTTATATTTTAAGATTCTTGTGTCTGTGAGCCACCTCCCTGCTTTCTGGTTTAAGATAGTTGTAACTTGGTGAAACGTGCTTACTGTCAATTTTCCTTGAAAGGTAAACTTTCTACTTTCTTTGACCAATACTGTTGTAACCGCAATACTGAGGCCATCCACAAGTAACTGGGTCTAAGACATTTGAAAGTAAGTCCGCAGGCTGTTGATGACCCCCCTATTCTTGAGTAATCACTTCCAAAGCTACTCCATTGTTCACATTGACAAAAAGGTGGAATGGCTTCCCAAGGGAAGGTAAGGCTAAAACAGAGGTGGTTATGACTCTTTCAGCTCTTCAACTAGATCAACTTCCTCAGAAGTCCACAGGAAGCGGTCAGGCTTCCCCTGGACAAGTTTTTGATGTAACAGTTTACTGTGTAGTGCATATAAGTCAGTCCATAAGCAGTGGCATCCAACTAACCCTACATATTTCCTGAGTTCTTGTTGGAGGTAAGTGTGAGGACACGATTCCTTCAACTCATTCCAGCCCTGTTCTTTTCTTGCCTGCACTTATTAAGTGGCCTAAATATTTAACTTCAGGCTCTACATACTGAAGCTTTCCTTTTGAGACTTGTAGCCTTTCGAACGCAGATGGTTAAGAATATGTGTAGAGAAGTCAGTTACCTTCTTTATACCTTCACCAGATACAAGAAGATCATCCACATACTGGAGCAAGCATATTTGTTTTGGGATGACAACTTTTTCTAATACTTGTTCTAAAATTTGGCCGAAAAGATTAGGGGAGTCTGTGAATCCTTGGGGCAAGACTGTCCATCAGATACTATTGTTTGTGCCCTGAATGGGAGTCCTCCCACTCAAAAGCAAACATATCTAGGCTGTCTTCATCCAGGGATGTGCCCAAAAAGCATCCTTTAAATGTATTACAGTAAACCATTGATGATCATATGGAATCTTACTGAGAATGGTGTAAGGATTGGGGATGATGGGGTGGGTAGTCTGGACTATTTGGTTGAGAGCTGTAAGGTCCTGTACCAGCTGGTATGACCTGTCTGATTTCTTGACTGGCAGTATTGGAGTGTTATAAGGGGACATACAGGGCTCGAGAAGCCCATCTTTAATAAGGCCCTCAATTACAGGCTTCAACCCTATCCTACCCTCTAGGAGAATGGGGTATTGCTTCCTTCTTACTACTTCTCCAGGGGTTTTTAGCTTGACGTTGATTGGAAGGACTCAGAGTTTCCCTCGGTTCCCTTCTTTGGACCAGACATTAGGATTAATATATTTTTCGTCTACAGTGGTGAGTTGGTTTAATGAGATGAGGAAACCTCTTGGACTGACCTGTGGGTCTATGCCTAATTGCAACATTAGATCCCTCCCCAGTAAGTTAGTCCCTGCTTCAGGGATTAACAAAAACTGAATATGAGCTGATTGATCCTGGTATCTAACTTCTGTATTGTCTAAAATTGTTCCTTTAAACCCTTCTCCTTTTACCCCAGAGACTAATAGTTCTTCTGAAGAACAGGCAATATTAGGGGGATGAAGGAAACAGAGGAACGGACCACCCTGGAGTGCATTAAAAAGGTGACAGGCTCATGTTTAGGTCCCACTTCTAAATTTATCAAGGGCTCCTGGTGGGACTCAAGATAATAGAGACAGAGTCCCTGACGCCCCTATTCTTCTTGAAAAGTCATGAGTGGAACGGTTTCTCTCTCCTTTTTAAATTTGGGACATTGTCTCTTAAAGTGACCTATTCTTCCACATTTGTAACACCTATCTTTCCCTTCCTCCCTCTTAGTTCTGGGAGTATTTAAATTTGCTCCCCCATACCCTTTGGAGGGCCTGATAAACAAGGGCCTTCGTTCTGTAGATGGAGATTTAGGTCCTCTAAAGGAGTGTTTGGACCTTTATGGTCTCTGGCCCCCTGGAAACTCTGCTTAGGAGTACATGAGTGTGGACCCTTCTGCTGGAAGGTGGATAACATAAGTTATGTCTTTGGTTTGTGTTTTTCTTCATCCCTTCTTACATATACCTTCTGAGCTTCTTTGAGAAGTTCACTTAGGGGATGGTTTTCCCAATTCTCTACTTTTTATAGTTTCCTTCTGGCCAACTTTTCGTCACAAATTGGAGTTTTAACATCCCTTGCCCAAGGGGGTCTTGCAAATTGAGGCCTGCATATTGCCTCATTTGCTCCTTCAGCCTGTCCAGGAATCTCATGGGTCCTTCATCTTATTCCTGTTGTATATCAAATGCCTTGGAAAGATTTTGGGTTTGGGGTACTGATTTCTGAATTCCTTTTATTATCATTTCCCTCAGGTCCTACAGGTTTTCCCGGTGAGTCAGGTTGTTATTGTCCCACCGAGGATCTTGGGCAGGAAATTTTTGGTCCGTGGTAGGAACATTTGGACCCGGAGGATGCTCATGTTCCCAGGCTACCATAGCAGCCCTGTGAGTCATACTCCTTTCTTCCCCTGAAAAGAGGATACCAAAGATGGACATGAAGTCCACCCAAGTGTATAACTGAGGTCCTAAGAATTGTGCAATTTGGTCTGCCACTCTGTAAGGGTCATCTAATAGTGGCTTAAGCTCCTTTTTAAAATTCTGAACTTCTGAATTGGTTAAAGGAGCATTTACAACCCAATGGCTCCCCTGCCTTGAGGAACCTCTTTTAAGGGGAAGAGGGTCAGAGATGGCTCTTTAGGTGCAGAGGGAAATGGGAAATTCTGAATATCTTTTTTACATTATTCTATCTCACACTGGAGAGGGGTATTTTAGAAAGGGGTATTTAGGCTGGGAGGGAATAGGCTTATGGGATGGTAATTCCCAAGAGTTAGGGCTATAAGGAGAAGGGATAACGTGAGCAGAGGAAGGATGTGGAATGGGATCTGAGGTGACAGTGGCTGCCTGAGAGGAAGGACTGGGGACACTGAGCAGGGGGAGATGGTCTAGGGGATCCCATGCATTGGAGTCTTTAGGCATGGGAACTGGCTCCTCTGACTTTTCATTTTGAGGTGCCAGATTGGGTTCCTCCTTAGTTGTTTTTAACGGAAAGAGGAGGACAGGTCCCTGCCTCCAACGAAGAGCATAGTCCAGTTCTTCTTGAGAAACTGGACATTTATCATTAATATGTTGAATTAGAGGCTGACACATTATATCCTCATTCGACCCAAACTTTGGCCAGAAGATTGAGGGTTTGAGGATGGGTTCCTGAGTCCAAGTAAAACAGCAATATTTTATCATTTGTTGCTCTTTCTTATGTTTAGTCCTTTCATTATCCTTCCAGTGTTTTAACATGAGACCTAGGGGACTATCAAGGGGAGTATCTTTGTTACCATCTTTATCCTTCTTGCTCCCTGTCTTGCTTGGGGTATTTCCCATCTTTGGGGTGAGTCTCAATTTCCCTCACCAGAAATGTCTCACTTATTGGGGTGAGGCTCAGTTTCCCTCACACTTTCAACCGCCAAGATATCCTGACCAAGGAATGCTTCACCACCCCCATCCCTGCCACGGTTTTCTTACCTTGGTCCCGACCACCAAGGAAGTACTTTGCCAGCTCCTGTGGCTTTTCCTTCCTTGGTCTGTGCACAGAGTCACCTTATCACTGTGGTATGCGAGGATCCTTTCCCCCAAGTCACCGGCCAGTTTCTGCATTGCTGAGAGTCTGGGTTTATTCATCGCACCAGGTGGGTCTTAGTTCCTCATTCCTGAGGCTGCTGCAGTGAGGCAGTGGGGTGCCTCCTCATGAGAGAGGACCGGAAACCACCCCCAGAGGAGAATGGGCTCCCCATATGGGCCACCAAATTGTTAGAAATGCTTGTTCCTTGGTGCCACAAAGAAATAGCCCTCGAACATAAATTTAATTTTCTCAGCAATTTTTACTTCTATAGAAGGGTGTCACTCGCGAATGGAGTAATGGCGAGAGCACACCTGGACAGGGGAGGGGAAGGAGTTCTTGTTCCTGATACAGGTAGCCCCTACTGCTGTGTCATTCCTCTATTGGCTAGGGATGGACTGCACAGTCTAATTCCGACTGGCTGTTTTAAAGAGAGCAGGGGTATGAGCCAGAGCGGAGGAGTGAGTAGTTTGGTGGGAAGGAAGCTTAGGAACAGGTAACCAAAGATGACTTAGGTCAGAGCAGGTGACCAGGGGCGACTTAGTTCAAAGCAGGTGACTGGGATGAGTCAGGACAGAGCAGGTGACCAGGGAACAGATGTGAACTACTGATTAGGACTGGTGGAAAAGTTGTTTACTTTGTTCTAGTTGAAACTAGAACAAAGGGGCGAAGAGAACCCAGAAGTTAGACTTTAAAATCGAGAATCGAAGAGTAAGAGAGCTGAACATAGTGACATATTGATTCTTTGAAGAGAAACTTGGGGTTCACTATATTTAACACCATCATCTTCTTTTTAATAATTTCTAGGTAAATTACAAATATTAGTATGCTCTGCTCTCAATTTTTCAGTATGCATTTTATTAAAGTTCTCTTTTTTCTATGTAAAAATATGCATACCAACTAATGCTGTTATCTTAAGTGTACATTTGCCAAATATTTGCAAACACAGAGACCTCTATAATCCAAACTCCTATCAAGACATACATCATAACCATAACTTCAGAAAGTTTCGTCATGTCTCTTCTGTGTAAATATCTACCATCACTCTCCAAAGGCAACTGCTCTTCTGATGAGTTTTCTGCGGCAAATTAGCTTTGCTGTTGGAAAATCTTATAAATTAGCTTTGCTGTTGGAAAATCATATAAATCATGCAGAGGGCAGTCTTTTGTGCAAGGATCCTTCAGCTTAGCATGATGTTTTTGAGCTTCTTCCATGTTGGTTTTGTTACTGTTGCTGTTTTGTTTCCATTGCATGCATATATCAGTTTGTCATGTATTCTCATACTGACAGACATCTGCAGTGTTACCAGTATGTTTCTATTATGAATAAAGCTACTGTGAAGATTGTTTGTAAGTCTCTTTGTAGACTTGTGTAGTTTATTCATATAATTAGGTTTTGGATCTCCCCAATGATTCCAGGCTTTTGCATGGATTTGAATACTTGCTCCATATACTGTGATTTAACTCTGGTAATTAGTGGGGAGGGGAAGGAATGCGGTACCAGGGGAGGTGTTATCTGTTTTCTGTGTGTTTGAAATAAGCTTTCTTTTTGGAAGTTAGTTGCTAATTGGAGCACTCATCTACCTCTTTATCCTCCCTGGCTATACCCAGTGCTTTAAACTTAACATAAATGGGCCAGACACCCACTACTTGGCTTAAGCAAAGGAGAAATAACCAAACCAGCTATTCTAAATTTCTTTCCAGTTAATCACGTGGGAAAGAGCCTGGGTACCCTCTCTCCTTTCCACATCCATTAACCTTACTTAGCTGGAAGTTTTCTAGAACCTCTCTTCTTCCTATAGGTTTCTCCTACCTATCTTTTGAGCGGTGATTAATTCCCAGTAGGTCTTGATTTGTAACTGATTCCATCCATTTAAAAAATCTAGGGCCTTGTTTTTACTTTGGAGAAATACATTTGGAGGCATAATTGCTTATGTTTTGCTTCAGTAAGGGAGGTTACAGAGACACAGATGAATATGAATGAACAAGAAGGAAAGTCCTTATTCTATATTTGTGGAAACTTTTTAAAAAGTGTATTTTAGTGGGTCCTCCAATTGTTAAGCTGAGAGTTGGTCATCCTCCAATCATATTTTTTAAATTGTTCACCTAACATACACTACAGTATTGCGAAAAGGTTTTTTTTTATTGTTTTACTTTTTGCATAATTCTTTGCTTATTTTTGTTTGTTTCTTTTGCTTTGATATTGTTGTTTATAAATGTTGTTTAGTTTTGGTGTCAGAAGAACTACGGGCAGGCATTTTTGAGGAGCAGTTAGCAGTTTTAAACTATCTACCACTCTATTTATTTCCTCCGATATAGTCAGTTTCACATAGAACTCCAAATATGCAAATTCTACTTTCAGAAAGCAGTAAAGACTCCTGTATTCCCTTATCATTACAAATGTGTTAATTTTTTAGACAATTTCTGTGAGAAGCAGTATATCACAACTGCAAGACAGATGACCCACATATGCTTATAAATACAAGACATATGGGGACAGAATCAGCCTTTAAGAGACTGTGTGTGCCAGAGAGAAACCTTCTTTTACTTCAGGCACACACAGGATAAAAGTGTGAATCTTTAAACAAAATGATGGTGAAGCTGTGCTTTACGTGCTGTATGACCGCATGTTAAGAAAATGCACATTCTAAAAACAACGGAATTTCAGAGGGAATTGATGCAGGCCAGGTAAGCCCCAAAACTGGGGCTTTTCCTGGGAGGGTTCTCAGCTTCACCCAGGAAAGAATTCCAGGGCAAGCTGGTGGTGTCAAACAGCAACTTGAACTGAAGCGGCTGTGCACAGAAGCAGCAGAGCGATTTCTCCTTGCAGAGCAGGGCTACCCCATAGGCAATGTCCCAGAGTGACAGCTCAGAGGCTGTTCTGCACTCACTTATACTCCTTTTAATCATGTGCAAATTAAGGGGCAGATTATGCAGAAATGTCTAGAAACAGGGTGGTAACTTCCAGGTTGTTAGGTCAGTGCCATGGAAATGGGCGGTAACCTCTGGGTGTTGCCATGGGAATGGTAAACACATGGCACGCTGGTGAGTGTGTCTTAGGGAGAGTTGCTTTAACCTCTTCCCTGTTTTAGCTATTCCTCAATCTGGTCCGGTGTCAAGCCCCAGCTCCAGAGTCAAGACCCACCTCCTATCTCAATCAAGAGAAAAATTTAACAACACGTGCACCATATATATCTATAAGAACTCTCAGAGATGAGTAACTCGAAGGCATGGTTAGGACTTGGGTTGATATAATATCTTAGCAAAAGAACAGTGCATTTTTGGGAAACAGATAAGACAAAGTGAAAAGACATTGAGTATCTAGTGTGGCAAGTGTGGGAAGGCACATATACGGGGAAGCAAATGGCAGATGAGGGCTGATCAGTAAAGCCTGTTATGTGGATTCCTGTGATGCCATCTCCAGGCTAAGAGTCTAGAGTGGTCTCCAGGAACTAACTTCTATCCTTCCTGGCGGACACTGATACTTTATAAATTTATGTGCTTATTTTAGGCAAATAGAGGGAAGGCAGAGAGCTTTCTGTTTATCTGCTCATTCTCAGCTACTTCAGTTTAAAATAATCTTTATGCCAAAGTAGCATATTTTGGGGTGACATATTCTTCAATCCCTTACTTGACCCTAAAGGCCTCGTAAGGAGTCTTATGAAGTATGTCTATTGCCTCCTGCCTGTCTAAGAAAGTGGGGAGCACAGACATTGGCTCCTATGCTCCATTAATCAATGAGGACTCCATTGGGTATAACAGCCCTGCACATTTAGGCTGAGCATGTCAAAGTGCAGTTCCTATGGGTGCCACAGTGGGAGGAAGTGAGAGCTTCACTACATGGGGCCATGGCCTGCCCCTGTCAGTTTCACCAGTGCAAAGCTCAGTGAAACCTGCTGCAATTGGTCAGTGGAGCCGTGGCAAGCACAAGGACAGGCCAAGGGGATGTGAAGTGCTGCACAAAAGATATTAGATGCACTTTTATTCATAGATCTGAAGAGAAAAATCAGTTACCGCCTCCATGGGTGCTGAAAAGGCATTTGAAAAGTTTCAAGTGATGATGCTCTTGATTAAAAAAAAAAGAACACTCAATAAAATACCTTAAATACATATGCATATGCATGCGCCCTTGAGAGCAAAGATTTATCATAGATGTAACACATACATCCAGCAAAATGAGGGATTTATAACTACTAAAGCCATGGAATAGATAAACCGCCCCCGATAACAATAAGATTTTTAACTGTAATGAAAATATCCTCAAATATATTATCCAAGAGAAATAACATAGAGGCATAATAATTAGGAAGAAATAGATAATACTTTTTTTTTATAACATGGCTATACTCTGGGAGACACAAAAATAACCAATAATCTACTAGAAACAATAAGAGAACACAAAAGATAGTAAAATATGAAACACATATATCAATATATAAATATATCATAGAAATCATACTTCAGTAACACTTTGGAATACATAATGAAAGAAAAATAGCAATAACATAAAAACAAATAGAAATATAGTTAATAAAACTGTGCACAACTATATGAAGAAAACATTTGACACTCTTGGAACCTGAAAGTTGACCTACACACATGGAAACATATATCTGTTCTTGAGTAGGTATTCTTAATATTTTATTAAATGATAATTATCCTTAATTATGTTTATAAATATAAACCATTATAGAAATATCAATAGTTTTATTGCTTGGAACTAGACAAGTAGAATCTAAAAGTCATATGAAATGAAAACAACATGCATGCAACATAAAAGGGAACAAAGTGAAAAGTAGTGAAGTTACTATCCTATCTCCTATGATAGCGCAACGTATCATGAAGTCTCTAACAGTTTGGCACTCTTCCACGAACACACAGATGAAGCTATGAAACCAAATATACTGAAAACTATCAAAGTAAACTTGAACAAATACAGTATTTTAGAATGTGGTAAAAGTGCTTTCTCAACAAAGGAGGAGAAAGAGAAACTGGGTTTAGTTCAGGTATCTGTATACTCCTCACAAGTTTGTCTCTTTTAATGCCATCATCCCGCGTTACTGTGGTACAGTCATCCAAACCGATAAATCAACATTGGTATATTTCTATTAACAGAACTCCAGACTTTATTTACATTTTACCAGTTTTTCCACTAATATTCTTTCTGTTCCAAAATACAATTCTGGCTACCACATTGTATTCAGTCATCCTATCTGCTTAGTCTTACCTGGTTTGTAATAGTGTCAGTCTTCTTGTTTCTCTTTTTTTTATTTTTTTTAAACAATTTGGAGGGACATTGGCTAGGTCTATACAATTTTCCTCCATTCAGGTGTGCCTGATGCCTTTCTCATAAGGAGACAGGAGTTTTGCAGCAGGAGACCTCAGAGCTGAAGTCCCCTCTGATCACGTTGTATCAAGTTTACAATTTCTCTATTGTAAAGTCAGTGTTTCCCTTGCCATACCGCATTCTTTGAAAATAAGTCACCAAGTATAAGCCATATTCGAAGGAGGGGATTTGAACTCCACCTCCAAGAGGGAGTTGTTTTAACAATATGATTTAGAATTCTTTTGTAAGGAAGGGTTGTCTTTTTCCTCCAGTTATTTATCAACCTTTTATTTATATCAGCAGGAACGTCATTTCATGCAATGGGATATCCATCTGACATAGCAAAATAAGACCAGATCAAAATGTGTATTCTAATTCATACAAAGATTTAAATGTAAAAATAAAAATTTGCTGTAAGTTAATATGGGCTAATTATTGTATAATGGCAAAGTGGCAAAGGCTTTTTGAAGTATAAAAACGTAAGTGGGTGAAGCTGGAAACCGTCATTCTCAGCAAACTATCGCAAGGACAAAAAACCAAACACCGCATGTTCTCACTCATTGCTGGGAATTGAACAGTGAGAACACATGGACACAGGAAGGGGAATATCACACACCGGGGCCTGTTGTGGGGTGGGGGGAGTGGGGAGGGATAGCATTAGGAGATATACCTAATGTTAAATGACGAGTTAATGGGTGCAGCACACCAACATGGCACATGTATACATATGTAACTAACCTGCACGTTGTGCACATGTACCCTAAAACTTAAAGTATAATAATAATTTTAAAAAGTAAGTGGTGTTAAAAAAAAAAATGTATAATTTTGGCTGGGCACAGTGCCTCACGCCTATAATCCCAGCACTTTGGGAGGCCAAGGCGGGCTGATTGCCTGAGCTCAGGAGTTCGCGACCAGCCTGGGCAACATGGTGAATCCTCGTCTCTACTAAAATACAAGAAATTAGCCAGGCATGGTGGTGGGCATCTGTAGTCCCAGCTACTTGGGAGGCTGAGGCAGGAGAATTGTATGAGCCCGGGAGGCAGAGGTTTTAGTGAGCCAAGATCGTGCCACTGCACTGAAGCCTGGGTGATAGATTGAGAATCCATCTCAAAAAAAAAAAAAAAAAAGTAATTTCACAATATACAAAAAAGATTAAGAGCTAGGATTCACAAAAATACCATATGCAAAGTCTAAAACCATAGTACAAACTAGGGATATGTACCAGCTTATACATAAATGTCTCATCTTCTTAATGTGTATTAATGCCTTTTAGATATAAAGAAGTGAAAGAGAAAAATATTATAGAAAAAATGGCAATAAGCCTAAGCAACTATTTTACAAAGAAAATGTTGCTTAAATATATGAAAATTTGCTTATATTCTGGATGTCAGAAATCCCTATTGAAACTACAATGAACTCCTGTTTTCCAACTATTGAATTAACAAAAATTGAAAATTTGACAATGGACACTGTTATCAGGGGTCCAGAGAAGTAAGCACTCTTCTGCATTTGCCTTGGGAGTGCAAAATTTTCCATAGCATATGTGAAGAAATTCATTAATATTAATGGAAATAGGCTGGGCTGGATTTCACACCGGAAATCCCAGCACTTTGGAGACAAGGCAGATGGACCATTTGAGGTCAGGAGTTCAGGACTAGTCTGGCCAACATGTTGAAACCCCATCTCTACTAAAAATACAAAAATTAGCTGGGTGGGGTAGCATGTGCATATAATCCCAGCTACTTGGGAGGCTGAGGCAGGAGAATTGCTTGAACCCAGCAGGCAGTGAGCTGGGCTTGCACCACTACACTCCAGCCTGGGTGACAGAGTGAGACTCTGTCTCAAAAAAAAAAAAAAAAAAAAAAAAAATGAAATAAAGAATGTATTTATCCTTCAGCACAATGATCCCTCTTCTAGGAATTTATTCTACAGACATATATTTACAAATACAAAGGCGACAAATAAACAAGTTTGATTAATGCAGCATTTCTATTATCCAAAAATAAAGGATTTATGATAACACAATTCTGATATATTTTATAATTCATACCAAAAATACAGTTCATAAACCATAATACAAAGTAGGTTTTATGTCAAGCTTGTTAATATTTCATTTTAGTTTCTGTAATTTCAGTGACTTTTTGCTAGTCTTATCTATTGAGAACTGAGAGAGCTTTGTATAAGTCTCTTGCTAAACTAGCTTCCAGAGGATGGAAATGCAGTCGATTTTTTAAATAATTCAGTGACTACTAAATTATCTTATTAGTGTAATAACCTGTGAGATATTTTGAATTTCTTTATACTAACATGCAATGTGTTTTCCATCTCTCTTACTGATTTTCATAATTTTATGAGAAGAGGCTTCTGTTATGGTTAACTTTATGTGAAAACTTGGCAAGGCCATGTGCCCAGTTGTTTGGTCAAGCACTAGTCTAGATGTTGCTGTGAAGGTATTTTTAAAATGTGATTAACACTTAAAATGAGTTGACTTTAAACAAAGCACATTCTCTTCCATAACACAGGTAAGCCTTTAGTTGAACTCCTTAGCAGACTGACATTTCCCGCAAAAGAAGGAGTTGAACCTCCAGACCACAGCATGGAAATCCCACCTGAGTTTCCATTCTTGGGACTTGAGACCACATCATTTCTCACCTGAATTTCCAATCTGCTGGTTTGCCCTGGGGATTTCAGATTTGCCACCTTACATTCATACGAGCTCAAACGTCTGTGCGTGCGTGCGTGTGTCTGTCTGTGTGTGTGTATAACGATAAGAAACTAATACAACACTCTTGACCTTTCTAATTTAAAGGAAATGCTTGAAACCTTTTATTAAAAATTAATTTGCAATCATATTCTTACAGTGTTTTATATTTTGAAACGTTCAATTAGTCCCTTTCTAAGGTGATATTTTGTTTCAATATCATCTTTGAAAGAGATTAAATGGAGGGGTTTTAGTTTAGAAAAAGCACCAAGATTCTTAGTATCATAACTTTCTTTGCAGAATCCAGTAAGATATTAATGAATCTAAAGATATATATTTTACTCCTATTTATCTTTGGTTTTTCAAATTATTTTTCTTATAGTTTTGCGTAAGGTGAGGGGTTTTATCTGGGTTAGTAAAAAATGATTTCCAGCAAACATTGAATGTGGTAAAATTCAACTGGGTCAAGAAGACTTAGCCATAACTTCCCTTCAAGCTAAATACATAATAAAATATGTGTAAATATGTGTAAAATCACCTGATTCATAAATTCTGATTGCTGACAATACTGAAATACATTTATTAAATCCTTCTAGACTTTATTTTTTTAAAGCGAGATCATTATATAATTTAAATGGCTTATTTGTGATATCTAACAAAATAGAAACTTAAATGGTTTGTGTGTTGCCTGTAGTATATTTCTATTATATAGAGGCCCATTAAATATATTTCAAAGACTACTTAATGTTATTTATAAATGTTAATCTTTTTTCCATCCTTCATGATGCTAAATAAGGAAGTTTATAAAAATATTTTAAAACTTTGTCATTCCCCACTTATAGCGCAGTTGACTTCTTTAACTACTATTATTCTACATAGTTTGATCCTATGTTATCTTCTGTACTTTGCATTCTACTGAAATTACCTGAATGTGTAATTACTTATTTAAAAAATGTCGTAAAAATGGTTTTTTGAAAGTAACTAGTGGAAAAATTTTCTTTGTCACATTCGAAGTTGCTTTTGCAAATGTGTTTATAATTCACGTGTCTACTAAAATCTTTTTAAATGGTTTAATTTTAACTTGATATTATACAAAATCATTATTCTTCTTGTAATCATCATCAACATCATATCTCATCTCTAATGAGTATTCATATACTAAGGAATGTGTCCACTCCTTTATTGCATGTTCACTTTTAATTTACAAAACAATTTTCTGTAAGTTAAGCACTGCTGTCATGCCGGTTATCGGAGGAAAAAACTGAAGCCCGGGGACTAGGCAAATTGTTCACCATCAGAGTGTTTGTAAGTGGTGAGAGAGATCTGAGTCCAGCTATCTGATTCCATAGACCCAGCTTTTAGCCACTGCATTACACAGTCTGTTGAAATACCTGGTCCTTGCCAACATCAAATCCTCATTCAAATGTCTGTTGGCCAATCAAATTGTAGAAGCATCAGTGTGTGGCTCTGTTTGTTTTGCTATAAACTATCCTCATGTTAACCTTACTCTTCTTTTTCTTAGGAAAAAAAAAGTTTATTTAAAAGATTGTGACTGATATATAGTTGTTGTTTTTTTTCCATAAAAGAGGTCACAATAATGAATAAGCTGAAATTTGGGGCCATGAAATCTTCAGTATCAAGGAAGTTTAGCCTTGACATAGAAACCAAGACTGAAAGAGATGGAGAGGAGCTTGGAAGGGTGGCCAATCAGCCCATCAGTGTAGGAGGAATTGGCTGCAATCAGCAATTTTCTGTGACCATAAACAGACGTCCAGGATAAACTTATTCTTTGTTGTGAATGCCCATGGTATTCCTTCATAGCCTTAGAAACACAGTTCATTTCAGCAGTCATACCACTATATTATTTTAGTAGCATTTATTATTTCACTTGTATCAAATATTTCACTATTGAAATCCACTGGAAGATTCTATCACAGAGTGCCAAAAGCAAAGAATAAAGAAGGATAAATGATAATACCACCATAGGAGCAAAATCTGTAGAATTGTTTTAAAAATACTTGTAAACAGGACTAGAAGACATATTTAGTGAACACATCTAGGAAGTTATGCCAGCGTGTTAGGATGTGGGTGTAATGAGGTTTAACTCCCTCGATTCCATCACATCTGGTCTGCTATAGATAACTTGTTCATTCACTCTTCCTATCCTATATTTTTAAGTTTTTATTTTACTGACTCCTTTACACCAGCATTTAAATAAGGTCAACACTATTTGATCCTAAAATCAACAACAGCCAGAATTTTGAACTGTACAATTACTTCTAACTTCTATCTTAGATCTCCAACCCATTCATAGCAAATCTTTTGAGAAAGTTGTTTGCACTTATTTCACCATTATTATTATTTTTTCAACCTCCCATTCATGTCTTTTCCCATTATAACCTAAATTTTCTCCAACACTGTACTGGTTTCTGCCATCACACACAGTGATATCGAATGCAGTGAGAAATGTTTCAGCAATTATATTTCTTGATGTTGAATTATGTTTTTCTCCTGCATTCATCCTTGTTAATCACTATTTTCTTTTAAAAGTATTATCTGGCATTGCTTTTCACGACATCACACTCTTACGGTTGTCATTCCTTCTCTCACTCTGAGCCTTAAACTGATTTACGTGTTTCTCACCTAGATTATTGCAGCACACTGTCTTCTTAAGTACAGTAATAACTCTCTTTAAATATGACCAAGGTATCCTTTCCAAGTATAAATGTAAGTATGTATTTCTTATACATAAAACATTTACTGTAAAGTCTGAATAAAAATATTGGATAACTTCTTTCTTGCTTGAGTAATTACATTGATTAAGAACCTTTAATTAATTTACTTTTAAACATTTCTAAAATCTTAAGAAAATTATTTTCACTTCATTTAGATTCGGTTCCCTCATGTGCAAGGTGAGGAATTTAGATTACATTCGAGGTTTTGAAGTCTGGCTTCTCAAATTTAATGAATTAGGAAATGAAATTTAACTTCAGTATTTCAAAAAGCCAAATAGATATTGCATATCTATTTCCCAGTAATTGGTTCAAACTATAATATATGTTTTTATTTCTGTTTATATCATGTTAAACACAATAATATAACATGTTAAAAATGTTACATATGTTAAATATAATATCTGATTAAAATGTTCAGGTATCCAATGAATATTTTGAAACCTTATAATTTGTTATTACTTGTTAGGCTATTTTGATATACATACTGTTTTCAAAAGAAAAAGTCAAAGTCAGTGAAAAAAAGCAAAAAGCTGTGTGATAGTCAATAGTGAAAAATAAAATTATATCCGTTCTGTGAGCCTTTCTAGGTATAAATACTATAACTCTAAACTCCTAAATGAGTTAACATCATCAAAATTCAAGAAAATTAATAGAAGACTTTCATGTCACTCAAATGACAGCAAAAAAGTCCCCCTATGTTTCTTCATGTTTGTTGTTAATGGGCACTGCTTTGCTCACCATAAGTAACTATGACAGAGCTGGATATTTAGAGGAAGACATACATGGATGAAGATAAATTAAAATCAGATGTTTATTTTAGTGATATGTTGACCGTCTGATAAAAATGATAAAATTAACTATTTCCTCTGTGTAGTAAAGAATTGGCTAGCCTTTGATGTCAGTTCCTGGGAGGGAACTTCTAAACCTTGAGATTTCAAGAGTGATAGGAGTACCTTTATACTCATGGAAGAATCCTGGACCACAGCTGACAGGTTATGCTAATAAGATGACCCATGACTAGGACTGAGACTGGCTACTGCAGTGGTCCCAGGGTGGAGTCGGGCCACACCAGAAAGACCATTCATGTGACTGGAGGGTTGGACTTTGATCCCTGTAAGGCGACATCAGCCTGGATTCTGGGGAGGTGAAAGCACTGGAGTTTGAGTTCAACCACGTGGGCAGTGATCCAATCAGCCGCATCAACCCAGTAAGACCCGATTACAAATGCTGGACACTGGAGCTCACCTGAGTGTCCTGGCCTGGTGTACTCCATGTGACCGTTGCCACGCAACAATGTCAGGAGGGTAATGCATGACTGAGGAAACAGGAGATCCATGTTTAGAACCCTCCTAGTCTCAGGTTCTACCCTGTGGGTTTCTTCCTTTGACTGCTTATGATTTATATCTTCCTCCTGATATAAAATTGTAAGTATAAGTATAGCACTTTCTGAAGTTCTGTGAGTCATTTTATTCAACTACCAAAAATGAAGACGTTTATGAAGATGTCAACATTTGCAGCCAACTGGCCTGAAGTGAAGGTGGGCCTGGAGACCCCTGAAATTGCAGCTGGGGTCAGAATCTTAGGTATATTTGGCAGTTCGGATGACTGTGAATTTTAAGTTCAAGATTGGCTAAATCCTGTTAGGGTCTTTGATCAAATATTAAGGTATTAACTCCTAGTGCATTCCTGATGACTCAAATGATAGAGCTGATAAAAGTAAGCACAGTAAAACTTGCATTTCTGAAAATAAGTATGACTGTAATTTTTAAGCACATTGAGTGTTACAGGAAAAGAGAAATATCTGGTTAATACAACCCAAAATAGAAAGCTTAAGCTGGGACAGCTTTTACAATCTTTTCTTTTATAAAAAACAAAATCAAAGCAGAAAATTTTATACTAATTTCAGTAGTGGTGAAAAGCTAATTTAATGAAATTTAATGATCTTTCAGGGTTAAAACAAACATTTTCCAAAAAATAGAAAAAAAATTTGTTGATAAGCTGCATCAATTAAATACCTACCAGTAATATCAAATTTCTGGTTGAAATATTGAGCACTCTCTTCCCAAATCAAAAACATTATATTGATGTTTACTTTCCATATAATGTGTGGAACTTCTGCTAAACATTGAACTGGTCATCACAGCTGATGTAGTAAGGCAAGGAAAAAGTAAAAGGCATAAACCTGAGAAAAAGAAGAAAGCTGCAGAAGATATGATTTGGTAGTTGCAAAATCCATAGGAACAGTCAAATTCCCAGTGGAAATTACTATATGTAAATGTGATACAATCACAATATGAAAACATTGTATGTCTATACTCTAGTGACAATTAGAAAATGAAATTTTAAAATACATCTTACAATGAATCAGAAATACCAAATACCAAATTTGACAAAACTTGTTTACAATCTATACATTGGAAATGAAATAAGTAATTGCTAAGAATTTTTTACAACACCTAAATAAATGGTTTTGTCATGTTTGTAAATTGTAGGACTGAATATTGTACAGATATCAATTATCTACAAATAATTGTATGAAGCTTCGGGAAGCCAAAACAAAATTCCAAAAAAATTCATAAAAAGTACAAAGGTGATACTGTACTGTATATGAAAATGCAAAGACCTGGAACAGTCAAGACATTCTTAAAGAATAAATTTGACAGATCACTAATTTCAAAAATTAAAATAAAGCAACAGTAATCATGACAGTGTTACATTAGTATCAAGATAGACAAGAAGATCAATGGAAGGCAATAGGACCAATATAGATCGACACATATAAAGTCCATCGATTTTCAACAAATGCATTCATGCAGTTGCAGGAGGAAAGGAAATCATTTCAGCAGACAGTGCAAGAAGAGCTAGAAATTCATACGGGAAGAAATTAACCCTGACCCTAACCTCATAGCTGTATAAGAATTTATTCAAGATGAGTCATAGGACTTAAATACAGGACTTACAGAAAATATTATGTGAGAATACCTTTGATATTCTTCAGAGTTAGCAAATATGTAAGACACAAAGAGTACTAATCATGGAAGAAAAGATGACAAACTGGACTTCTTCAAAATGAAAAGAGCACCTTTTCCTTATCAAATAATATCACTAAGAGAATAACAAGGCAAATTATTACCTGGGAGGAAATATTGTCAATAGCTATACCTAAACAAGAATATACATATAAATCCAGCAGACTGATAGTAAAAGGACACACACTCCATTAAAACTTGACAAACCTTTGAGCAGACATAGTAAAGGTGCTCAACATTATTGTTCATCAAAGAAATAAAAAGTAAAACAAAAATGCAATTATTCATAGCTAAAAATGGCCAAATGAAAAAGATTGACATAGACAATGTCAATTGTCTATGTCAAAGTGTTGGTGAGGATAAAGAGCAACCAGAAACCCTCCTCAATTGTTCATGCAAATGTAAGCTCTTGTAAATCCTTTGGAAAACCCTGGAAGATTTTAAATTTCCCTCTAATCCAATAATTCTACTCTGAGTTCTTCACCCAAGAAAAATAAGAGCATTTGTGCACAAGCCTACAAAAAGACTTGTGGCTTGTGCACACATGTCCACAGAACTTTTTTCATTGTATCATTTTCTTTTTTTTTTTTTTTGAGATGGAGTCTTGCTCTTGTCACCCAGGCTGGAGTGTAGTGGCGCAATCTTGGCTCACTGCAACCTCCACCTCCCGGGTTCAAGTGACTCTCAGGAGCCTCAGCCTCCTGAGTAGCTGGGATTACAGACAACCACCACCATGCCTGGCTAACTTTTGGACTTTTAGTAGAGACGGAGTTTTGCCGTGTTGACCAGGCTGGTCTCAAACTCCTGACCTCAGGTGATCCTCCTGCCTTGGCCTCCCAAAGTGCTGGGATTACAGGCATAAGGCACTGCACCCAGCCACTTTATCATTGTATCTTATACTGAAAACAGTCCATATATTCATTGTATTAGTTCATTCTCATGCAGTTATGAAGAAATACCCAAGATTGGGTAATTTATAAAGAAAAAAGATTTAATTGATTCACAGTTCTACATGGCTGGGGAGGCCTCAGGAAAGCTTACAATCATGGCAGAAGGCACTTCTTCACAGGTGGCAGGAGAGAGAATGACTGCCCAGGGAAGGAGAAAGCCCCTATAAAACCATCAGATCTCATGAAAAGTAACTCACTATTACGAGAATAGGATGGGGGAAACTATCCCTGTGATTCATTTATGTCCACCTCATCCCTCCCACAACATGGGATTATAGGAACTACAATGCAATATGAGATTTGGGCAGGGACACGGTCAAACCATATCGTTCTACCCTGACTGCTTCCAAATCTCAGGTCCTTACACTTTAAAACACAATTATGTCCTGCCAACAGTTCCCCAAAATCTTAACTCATTCCAGCATTAACTCAAAATCCAAGTCCAAAGTCTCATCTCAGGGGGACAAGGAAAGTTCCTTCCACTTATAAGCCTGCAAAATCAAAAGCAAGTTGGTTGCTTCCTAGATACAATGGGGTACAGGCATTGGATAAAAATACCCATTCCAAGTAAGAGAAATTGTCTAGGACAGAGGGGCTGCTGGACCTATTGCAAGTCCAAAACCTAATAGGGCAGTCATTAAATCTGAAAGCTCAAAAATGATCTTTGACTTCATGTCTCACATCCAGGTTATGTTGATGCAAAACGTAGGCTCACATGGTGGTGGGCAGCTCGGCCCCTATGGCTTTGCATGGTACAGCCCCACTCTCAGCTACTTGTACAAGCTGACATTGAGTGTATGTGGCTTTACCAGGAACAAGGTGCAAGATGTTGGTGGATCTACCATTCTGGGATTTGGAGGACAGTGACTCTCTTTTCACAGTTCCACTAGTGGGCAGTCCCCAGTGGGTACTCTGTGTTGGGGCTCCAACCCCACATTTTCCTTCCATGCTCCACTAGCAGAGATTCTCCATTAGGGCTCTGCCCTTGCAAAAGACTTCTGCCTGGACATCCAGATATTTCCATACATCCTGTGAAATCTAGGTGGAGATTCCCAAACCTCAATTTTTGACTTTTGTACACCCACAGGCCCAATACCACAGGTAAGTGACCAAGGCCTGGGGCTTACACCCTCTGAAGCAATGACCTGAGCTCTGTATTGGCCCTTTTGAGCCACATCTGGAACTCAGGGTACCATGTCCCAAGGCTGCATAGAGCAGGGAAGCCTGGGTCCAGCCTGCACGACCAGTTTTTCCTCCTAGGCCTCTGGGCCTGTGATGCGAGGATCTGCCTTGAAGGAGAGATTTTCTCCATTGCCTTGGCTTTTGTTACTTATGCAACTTTCTGCAGCCAGGTTGAATTTCTCCTTTATTGTTTTTTATCACATCTCAGGTGGCAAGTTTTCTAAACTTTTATGCTTTGTTTCCCTTTTGGATGTAAGTTTTAATTATAAACCATGTCTTTGTGAATATATAAAACTGAATGCTTTTAACAGCAGTCAAGTTACATCATGAATGCTTTGCTGCTTAGAAATTTCTTCCACCTGATACCCTAAATCATTTCTCTCAAGTTTAAAGTTCCACAGTTTTGTAGGTCAGGGGCAAAATGCCACCAGTCTCTGCTGAAACATGGCAACAGTTATCTTTATTCCAATTCCCAACAATTTCCTCATCTCCATCCTAGACCACCTCAGCCTGGACTTCATTGTCCATATCACTATCAGCATTAAATGGTCAAAGCCATTGAAGAAATCTGTAGGAAGTTTCAGACTTTTCCACATTTTCCTGTTTTCTTTTGAGTCCTCTAAACTGATCCAACCTCTTCCTGTTACTCAGTTCTAAAGTCACTTCCACATTTTCAGGTATCTTTATAGCAGTGCCCGACTCCCAGGACCAATTTACTGCCTTAGTCCATTCTCATGCTGCTATGAAGAAATGCCCCCAACTGGGTAATTTATAAAGGAAAAAGGTTTAATTGACTCACAGTTCTGCATGGCTGGGCAGGCCTCAAGAAACTTACTATCATGGCAAAGGCCCCTCTTACACAGGGTGGCAGGAGAGACAATGAGTGCCCAGTGAAGGAAAAAGTACCTTATAAAACCATCAGATCTCATGAAAACTAACTCACTATTGTAAGAACCAGATGGGGGAAACCACCCCTGTGATTTAATTATCTCCACCTGGTTCCTTCCACATGTGGGGATTATGGGAACTACAATTCAAGGTAAGATTTGGGTGGGGACACAGCCAAACTATATCACCCATCAACAGGAGAATAACCCAAGTTTCTACATTTATACTATTTAGCAAAAGAAAAGCAATAAGTTTATAAGACATGAAAACACATAGATAAACTGCAAATAACTTTTGTTGGATAAAACAAAACATAGATGAAACTAATCTGTATTAACAAATCAAATAGAGTTGCTTATGCACTGGTAGTGACTAGAAAAAGAAATTAGAAAATATTTAGAAGTGGTAGAAATGGACTATATCTTGACACATGTTTTGTCACCTGAGTGAAAATGTTTATTAAAATTCATCTAAATGTCCACTTAATAATTAGGAATTTTACTGATATCACAATAAAATATTTTTAAAGTACTTTGAAACTAAATTCATAAATTATTTACATATGTGAATAACCATCTGAGTTAGTAAAATGTATCATTTATCTAACTTAAGAAAAACTGTACAGCATATGTCTTGGTTTATGTATTTCCATTTTCAGCTCAGTGTTTCTAAATTAAATATTTTAAGGTAATTTTTTTACAACAAAAATACCTAGAAATAACCAAGGAGTTGAGAGAGCTATACAAGGAAAATTACAAAACACTGCTGAAAGAAATCATTTTTGACACAACAAATGGAAATACATCCCAGGCTCATGGGTAAGAAGAATCAGTATTGTGAAAATAACCATCTGTATGGCCTAAAACAATGTACGAATTCAATGCAATTCCTATCAAAATATCAATATAATTTCTTTTTGAGATGGAGTCTCACTTTGTCATGCAGTCTGATCAATGCAATTTTTTACAAAATTAGAAAAATTCCTAAAATTCAAATAGAACCAAAAAAGAGCCCAAAGAGCCAAAGCAATCCTAAGCAAAATGAAAAACAAAAAAAAAAGTTGGAGGCATCAAATTACCCAACTTCAAATTATACTACAAGGCTATACTAACCAAAACACTATGGCACTGGTATAAAAGTAAATACCTAGACCAATGGAGCAGAATAGAGAACCCAGAAATAAAGCCAAATATTTACAACCAACTGATCTTTGACACAGCAGACAAAAACATACACTGGGGAAATGACACCCTCAAGATACGGTGCTGGGAAAATTGAAGAGCCACAAGGGGAAGAATGAACTATATTCGTGACTCTCACCATATATAAAAATTATCTCAATGTGGATGAAAATGTTAAATTTAAGACCTGAAGCCATAAAAATTCTCAAAAAAATTCCTAGGAAAAACTTTTCTGGACATTGGCCTAGGCAAATAATTTGACTGAGAACCCCAAAGCAAATTCAACAAAAACATAAATAAATGGGACCTAATTAAACTAAACATGTCTGCACAGCCAAAGATTTAATTATCAACGAATGGAGCAATGGCGACCTTTGTGAGTGAGCTGGAGGTGGCCAAGAAGAACTTCAGTGAGGCCCTGGGGGACAACGTGAATCAATACTGGGCTAACTTAAGCTGTGGTTCAAGCGGAAGATCAGGAAAGAGGACTTTGACCTTGAAACTCATAGGTTTCTTACATAGGATAATATGCATCCTCACAATGATTTCCTCCTGGCCATTCTCACGCATTGTCAGATTTTGGTTTCTACATCAGAGGGTGCTGGATCTTTGCCCTGGATGGGGGGTTCTGCAGCAAAACCTGGAAAGCCCAATGGAAAGAAAAAGCTTTCTTCTGTCAGAAATTTGATCATAGATTTCAGCCTCACAGTCCTTTCTCAAGAGCCCAGTAATTTGTGGCAAAAGATCCCCAAGATGATGATGATTTGAAACTTTGTTCCCACACCATGATGCTTCTCATTCAAGGCTGGCTTGAAGGGAGAATGACAGTGACTGCTTATGAGCATGGGCTGGACAATGTCACCGAGGAGGCTATTTCAGCTCTTGTCTATGCTGTGGAGAATCATCCTAAAGATATACTGACATCAGTTGTGTCAAGAAGGAAAGCTTATCGGTTACGAGATGACCATTTTAAATATGCCTTTGGCAGTAATTTGACCCCACAGCCATACCTGAAGAATAATGTAGTAGCTTAGAACAACTTAATATAAAGCCCTCAAGCTTTTACTGCTCCCTGTGCTGGTCAGAATCCGGCTTCTCACCCACCTCCTGATGAAGCCGAGCAGCAGGCTGCATTCCTTCTGGCATGCTCTGGAGACACTCTATCTGCATCTTTATCTGCAGCGAACATGTATGAACTTTTTGAAGCTCTGCGGGTACACAGGGAAGTCATACCTACACATACTGTCTATGCCGTTAACATTGAAAGGATTATCATGAAAGTCTGGCATCCAAATCATGAAGAGCTGAAGACAAAGTTCACCACCAGTGCTTGGCAACCAAGGAGGGGCTTTTGCTGTGCTAAATGAGGATTTGAAGGTGCGGGACTCTCATCAAATTCATTGATTACTGAAAATTGAATTTTAGTGGGGGGGTCTACATTTCAAGGCTGAAGTGTATGGTATATATATAACCGTTCATATGGAAATGAGACAATGAGTACCTTTTGTGTTGCTCTTGTGAAGCCACTAATATAAATCTTTGGTAATGACCCATATCTCTATATGTATGTGTTCCTAGTTGTGGGAGCAGGCACTAATGAAATCCTGTGCCTGGAATGGAGATATTTCGGTACCTGAGGCTTAGTATCTTGTGGTCTGCATGTAAGATAGATGACATCCTAGAACAAAGAAGCTGTTACAACTTAGTCCCCCTGATCAGCAGGGCATCTCTGTATTCAGTGATGTCGTACATTCTGTATCTAGAAGTCTAAAATTTCTGCCTTTCTCTTAAAGGATGTGCTCTTGCATTTTGCTTTAAATAACCTACACAGTTTTAAAAACCAGATACCTCCATTATTGATCAGTTTAATTTTTAATAGCTATACGTAACCCCTGAAAAATTTATCACTATAACTCCATGTGAAATATGACTTGGAAGTGCTCTGTGTTACTAAACAAAATAAAGTCCCTCTGCATTTAAAACCAAAATCAAAACAAAACTCTTGGAATGCAATTAATTAACTCTATGTCTTCCCATGACTCAAGTTTTGTTAGAGTTAGTATGCCCAAAGAATTTGATTGGCAGTCTCTTTGGTTAATTATTCATATAGAATATATTTTAAGAAATGTATACAAACTTGATATATGCTTGGTAATTCCCCTGTTTCTAGGAGGTACCTATTTCTACCCTTTCAAGTGATAAAGTGGAAATAATTTACATTCGACAGTTTCACTGATAACAAACCTAGGTTTTTTTTAAGAGATATGTTGCTTTTTACTTAAGGGATAGCGCTGATGATAAATTAGTATATATACATATAGGTTTGCATAGGTCTAAATAATGGCTTTATAGATATGTATATATGGTTCACATATCTGGTTCTGTGTATTTGATTTTGTACTTTAAATGTGACAAACCTTTTGGGAGAAAAAAGATTTAATTATCAGTAAATAGGCAACCTACAGAATGGGAGAAAATATTTGCAAATTATGCACCTAATAAAGGACTGATATCAAGAATCTACAAGGAATTCAAACAAACCAGCAAGGAAGAAAAAAATAATCCCATCAAAAATTGAGCAAGTGATATGAACAGACATTTCTCAAAAGAAGATATACAAATAGCCAACAAACACATTTTTAAGAATGCTCAATATTACTACTCCTGAGTAAAATGCAATTGAAACTACTATGAGATACCATCTTACCTCAGCCAGAATGGGTAAGGGTACTTTTTATTAAAAAGAAAAAAGTAGATATTAGCATGGATATAGTAAAAAAAAAAAAAAAAAAAAAAAAAACACTTATGCACTGTTGGTGGGAATGTAAATTAGTACAACTTCTATTGAAAACAGTATGGAGATTTCTCAAGTAAGAATAGATTTACCATTCAATCCAGAGATCCCACTGCTGGCTATCTACCCAAAGGAAAATAAGTCATTATATGGAAAAGAAACTTTTATGTGTATGTAAATTAGATATATGCTTGGTAATCCCTCTACTGCAGCACAGTTTACAACTTAAAAGATATGGAACCAACCTAAATTCCTATCAACCAATGAGTGAATAAAGAAAAGGTGGTATATATCCATATAAATATACTATGGAATACAACTAAGCCATAAGAAAAGAACAAAAGTGTCTTTTGCACAATTTGGATGGAGCTGGAGGCTTTTATTCTAAGTGAAGTAACTCAGGAATTGAAAACCAAACATTACATGTTCTCACTTACAGGTGGAAATTAAACTGTGGGTATGCTAAGGCATACAGAGTGGTATCATGGGCACTGGAGGCTCATGAAGGAGGCTGGGCAGGAGAAGGTGAGGGATGGAAAACTATTGAGTACAAGGTACGGTATTTAGGTGATAGGTGCACTAAAATCCCAGACTTCACGGCTACACAATTCATCCATGCAACCAAAAGCCACTTGTATCCCTAAAGCTATTGAAATAAAAATTAAAATAAAAAGAATTGAAGCTAACTCTCTTAGTAATTAGTAATGTTAATACCAATTATTCATGTGTAAATGTACATCGTAAAAGGCGAAAACATAAAAATATGTATTTATATTATTAAGAACTGCAACACAGTTACATTTCCATTTTTAACTGCAGGCTTGACTTTGCAATCCTCCTTTTGCCTACACACCAAGCAACCACTAATGTATTGAACTAAGTGCATTGCCTGAAGAAGGTTAGCTCTTCTCGCCCAGTGACAGAAATTAACACAAGTTTAGCAACAGTAAATGGTAGCCAATAAGAAAACCTGACCAACTGTGCTGAATTCTTGTCAGAGGGAATGCTAAGCATCCTTACCTCTTTAAGTTATATGTTGTATCAGTGCCTGCTTATTAATCCTCTGAAGTCACTTACCAGCTCACACATATCTTTCTTTCTTGAGAAAAACAGAAGTTAAATTGATCTGTATAAGACTGTCTATACCAGATATGGATGAAGGCTACCAGTTCAATAAAAGAATGGTTAGCTATGGGGCAGATGAAAACTTTGCACAGCCTATGTTCAACTCCCCTTCTAAAGTTGCCTCAAGGAGCCATTCGATCCACTTCAGCACACATATATACAGTACCTGCTGACTAAAGAGTACATTTTAATTTCAATGAACTGAGAAACAAATAAGAAAGTCGTAAATTTTGAACTAAATACAATACAGATGTTGGAATTGTAAAGTGCTGGGTCTGTCCCACAGACCGTGGCCGAGCGATGGATGAAAGGAGTAGGCAGACACAGGTACTTTCCCTGAGAGTGCGGCTAGGGGACTGCACGGCTTAGCACTGCTGACAAGAGTGCCACCCCAATAAGCCAGAGCTATTTGTATTTACTTAGTACAGATTTAATGGCAAAGGCCTGGAGCAAGCACAGTTTGTGGGTGATTAACACTGCTGACCCCCCGAATAGAGAGCAGTCCTCTGTGCAAATGATCAGAGGTTGGTTTCTGGAGACATAAGTGAACCAATTTATCTAGATAAGGATCTTTATATTCCCATGTTATTTACCATTTGCCTTCTGCTTCAGGGTAAGGGAATTAGCTGCCTTCAGCTTTTATTCTGTCCTGAAGCTGTGCTAAACATCCCAGCCTTCCAAGAAGGTTTGGGTCTTTCCCTATAATTTTTCCCACCATGCTGACTGATCTCTGACATCTCCCCATTTTCTTTTTGTTTGTGTCAGGTTTTGTTGATTGAAGAATACAGATGTGTGCAGCAAAAGGTTTGTCTGGTGTAGTGGTTGCTGCTTGTATTCTGGCTTTGCATCCTAGAATTAGTAAATAATGAGACAAACATGAGTATAATTCGTAACATTCTTTTCCAGTCAAGGAGTGATATGTAGTGTTGCTTGGCTCCTCAGTCCAATCTGTGCCATTACTAAGGAAACCCATGGCGGGTAGGTCAATCCCTCCTAGCCAAGCGGTTACGTTATTAGAGGCTGGGAAGGGAGTATCTGCACAGGTAACAGTGCAGAAGAAAGGCAGATTTAGAAGATGGGCTTAATAGAGTGTAGCAGGTACCAGTTGCAACCAGAGTGAGAAAATAAGAAAAGCCAATATCCTACAAGAGTTGCAATGTACAACAGAAAGCATAGCAAGGAACAAATTATCTGGAGTGAATGGTGTCTGTGTCCAGGGTAGGATTTGCTCAGCCTCCTGGGTTGTCATCTTCAGCATCCCCCAGGTAATGTCCAGGGCTCGTGTCATCCAAGGAAGTTGCATCATCCGGGGCTGCAGGTCCTGTAGGGTCATTCCCTTCATTTCTCCTACTGGGTTGGGTCCTAGCCACACCATGGTATGATTTGATGCATCGTGCTGGAATACAAAGAGGACTTGAGAGGGTGTGAACACAAGTATATCCTCTTCCCCATGTTAGCAAATCATCTGGACCACACCATACATTACTATTTACATCTTTCCATAAAACTGCAGGTTTTATGTTGTGAGGGCCTTTGGTAAAATGCACTTCTGTGGCTGATTGAAATTTATCATTCAAATTTTAAAACTTAAGGGTAAATAAGGCTTGTGCCAATAGTGTTTCAGGGTCCTTACTCATATTCCCCCTTTTTCGTTTTTTGAGTATATTGAGCCTATTAAGGGTGGAGTGGACACATACTATGGCCTGTCCTTGGGGTTTATAAGGGATACCTGTGGAATGTTGGATGTTCCACGTGTAATTGTTGAAATTGTGAGCTGGCACAAGCCAGACCATTATCAGTTTTAATTTTGGGGGCCATCCCATAAATGCAAAAGTTGAAAGAAGATGTTTAATGACATATTGGGTGGACTCTCCAGGCAAAGCATGCACACTAATTAGGTGGGAATTGGTTTCAATGGACATATGTACATATCTTAGTTCTCTAAATTCAGGGACGTATGTAACATCTGTTTGCCATAACTGATTAGGTTCTAGTCCTCTAGGGTTAACACCTGTTGAAGGAGGGACTGTGCCTGTGAGCTGGCAATCTGGGCATTGTAAAATAATTTGTTTAGCTAGTCTTTAGGTAAGATGAAATTGTTTGGATAAATTTCTACAATTTTGATGGAAAAATTGATGCAATTGGGTGGCTTGGCCAAGCAGTGACATCATAACCTGCAGGTATGCTTGATTATTCCCAGAAGCCAGTGGGCCAGGCAGTGAGCTGTAGGTTCGAATATGTGTGGTAAAGTTAGGATATGTACATTGATCAGCAATTGCTGAAGTCTGAAGAAAAAGTGCATATAGGTTGGGCTCCAGAGCAGACTCAATGAGGGCTGTCTCAAGGTTCTGCAATAAATAAACAGCATAAGCAGAGTCACTATCAATATTGATGGGCTGAAAAGAAAATGTTTCTAGGGCCAATATTAAGGCTCCAACCTCAGCTCTCTGAGTAAAGGTAAATCCAGAACGAGTGAGCATATTGAGCATATTAAGGGTGGAGTGGCCATGTTCTATGGCCTGTCCTTGGGGATTCCCACCAATAGCTGCTTTTCCATTTTTACTAGAGCCATCAGCAAAAAGCATTAAAGTGTTAGATATGGGAAAGTGAACTACCTTTGTAGGCATAACTACAGGAGTATGAGGTAAGAACTGAAGTAATTTGTCAGCAGGAAGGGCATGTTCTATATGGCCTGCATAATCAGATACTGCTATCTGCAGGTCCAGAGATAAGGACAAGACTGCTTGGAATTTTTTTTTACTCAAGGGATTTATGACATCAGGGTCATAACCTAGCAACGGATTGCATTGTCTGTGGCCTGTATAGATTACTTTACTAACTAGCCATATATGGATAGATAGTGTTTTAGTCCCAGTATGTGGGTAAAAAAATCCATTCTAGGAGGTGTACTAGCCCTGGGCCATCTGTCCTATTAATCCTGCTGGGGAATGTTTAGTAGGAAAAAAACAAACAATTCCACTAAATATTGTGGGTCTATGTGATTTAGTTGCCTCTAAGAAATAGCTTGATCTATTTCCTCATTTTCCCTTTTTGGTGCAGGCGTTAAATACTTGGGAGAGTCTAGGGCTGTATTGCCCTTTAGGATAGAAAACAGGTTTTGTAACTTATCAGTAGTTATGCCTAAGGTGGGGTGAAGCCAGTTAATATCACATACTAATTTTTGATAATCATTTAAGGTACATAAGTTGTTAGTATTTAATTTAATCTTCTGGGGTATAACTGACTGAGAAGCTATTATGTATCCATGATATTTACAAGGAGAACATTTGTACTTTTTCAGGTGCTATGATTAAACCTCTTAACGGTGTATTCCTTTTGACAGAGGTATATAAATTTAAAACTACTGGCTCTGTTGGGGCTGCTAGTAAAATATCCATAAAATGAATAATTTGCAATTAGGAAATTATTTTCTACTGGGAATCAAAGCTTGATTTACATGATGCTGACACGTGGTAGGACTCTTCAGCATCCCTTGAGAAAGTACTTTCCAATGAAATCAGTGAGTTGGCCTTTCATTATTGATAGCTGGTATTGTAAGCACAAATTTTTCTCTGTCCTGTTTTGCCAGGGAAATAGTATAAAAGCAGTCCTTTAAGTCAATAATGACTATAGGCCAATCTCAAGGAATCACCACGAGGGAAGGGAGCCCCTGTTGAAGGGGCCATATAAGTTGCAAATTTGCATTGATAGCCTGTAAGTTATGCAAAAGTCTCCATTTACCAGACTTTTTGGGAATGACGCAAACGGGCAAATTCCAAGGGCTGTTTGATGGTTCTATATGGGTAGCTTTTAATTGCTCCTCAACTAATTCATGGGCTCTTTGTAATTTCTTTCCCTTTAAAGGCTACTGTTCTACCTAAATTGGATTTTGAGAGATCCATGTCAGGGTTAGGGGAGGGATAATAATAGTGGCCATTATTAGAAAAGGGTTTGCTGTTCACATAGTTCACCAAATTCTGCCCTCCGGAAGAGGTATTGACTGACCTTTAAAGTTGTTTTAGCTAGCACTGACCAGTCCCATGGGGTCATATGTAAGTTGTCTGCTATGGTCTCAATTAATCCTTTTGTAAGTGGACTAGTGCCTCTGTTTTCTCTAATGCTTTTCCTTATCTCTTTATCAGCATCAGAAGAAATGGGTTCATATACCTGATTGCCTTGTCGATCTTGCATTACCAGGCAGGCGAAGAGCTCCCCTTCTAATGCTGCTTGCCTAAGACAGGGTTCCATAGCTATAGTGTATCCCTTGTCTTTCTTCCAATTTATTGTGGGAGGGGGCTTAGGCAAAACCTCCGTTTCCTCTTTGGTATTTTTGCCCTGTAACAGCAGGACTGAGGGAGGAGGAGGAGGAGGCAGTAAGGTAGGTGATGGTTCCTCCTGCCTTCCTTTTTGAGGTTCTTCTGTGTAGAGCAGGGCCAAAGCAGCCCTGACTAATGCACACAACTTTAAAAATGTTACTGGGACCTGAAGCCCTTGCATACGATGTTAAGATTTCTCCGCATTTGTTCCCAGAGCTCTAGGTCTATTGTCCCTTCTTCAAGGAACCATGGCTTAAGGGAAACAACAGTTTGCATTAGGTCCTTTAATTGAGCCTGTGAAACCAAAGCTCCAGTAGCTTTAAGTAGCTGTTCCAATACTTTTATATACTGTTTCTGTTGAGCTTATAACTGTTGTTCCATGATGAAACTCTAGCCTTAACAATTCCCTTGATCTTGGAAATCCTGAGCGGGTACCACTGACCTACTGACTGCACAGTCTCTTTACCTTTGTTTTCGGGGGTTCCGTCACAATCCATGGCAGCATTCCTCACACAGAGCACCACCTGCCAGGTCCGTCCCTCAGACCCTGACTGAGCAATGGATAAAAGGAGTAGGCAGACACAAGTATTTTGCCTGAGACCGCGGCTAGGGGACTGCATGGCTTAGCACCACCAACAAGAGTCCAGCCGCAATAAACCAGAGCTGTTTGTATTTATTGAGTACGGATTTAATGACAAAGGCCTAGAGCAAACACAGTTTGTGGGTGATTAACATTGTCGACCCCCGAGTACAGAGCACTCCTACATGTGAATGATCAAAGGTTGATTTCCAGAGACATAAGTAAACCAATTTATCTAGGTAAGTTTCTTTACATTCTCTTGTTATCTACCCTTTGCCCTGTGCCTCAGGGTAAGAGAATTCGCTGCCTTTAGCTTTTATTCTCTCCCAAAGCTTTGCAAAACCTCCCAGCCTTCCAAGAAGGTTTGTGTGTTTCCCTATAATTTTTCCCACCACCCTGACCAATCTCCTACAGCAAAGAGGGCAAGATAATTGCATCCTAGGGAGTCTGTGAAAGCTTCACAAAAGCAGCAGCATTGACCTGGAGAGAAATGGACTTATGAGGTTCCTAGACAAGAGTAACCTGCCCCTGACTTTGTGCTGCTCACCTGCCCACAGAAACTTAGCAATGTGCTGTTAGCTTGGAAATGTCCATTCGTCCATGTGGCCATCACACATAGGAGGGTGTGTGTGATGATTGTTGCAGGAGATGAGGCTGGAGAGGTAGTCTGTGACCTTGAATAGATTCTAAACAAACATTAGTTTTGTGTGTGTGTGCGCATATGTATAATAAATATTTTTTAAAGTTAAGTTTTATCTGGTTTCATGATTAGCATCTAAGTGCCTGTCATACTCTCCCACTTTAACCTTGGATTTCATCTGTGGAAAGAACACTATGATTGTTCCTTTCTCTTAGATTGACCTTTTGTGAAACCACACACATTATCTCTTCATTCTTTGAGGGCTCTTTCCTTCCCACCCATGCAGCCCTCTCTCAATCTTCTCCCCCTGCCCTAGGCCTTCTTGGAGCTTCTCTGTATCTAGCCTGACTGCCTCAGCAAGATCATATACCCACATTTTTAGGGTCTACTTCTCTTTTTCTTCCTCAGAATGTACCTATCTTATGTCTATTCCTCATAAAACTCTGTATTCTGAAAACTAATCATGAAACAAATTAATCAGACACGAAGATCTTCAATAATTTAATTTGTCCTGTCTCAATATTGGTCTCATTTTCTTTTCTTCTTCTCAGGATCCCAGAGCACTCTAGTCACCAAAGCTTTGGCAAGGATGTGGTTGAAATTGTAGGGCTACCTGGGTAAATAATAACAAATATGTTGTTATGCATCTTGCCTCACACCATCCTTCAACACTCATCACTAAAGCCGTTGTCTTTTCTATATGTAGAATGTTGCCCCAGCTATTCACCAAGGAAGATCACTACCAATACTATTATGATTTGGAATTATTTTTAGACATCCCATCTATTTTTGGTCTGGTGGTAGATTTCAATAAAATTAATCTTCTATATGAAACTGGGAATGTGTTATGTGCCATTTATTATTACAGTCAGGAACTCCAGACAGTGTGAATAGGTTGATTAACGACCAGAGTGGAACTCATGTCCTGGGCTCTCCTACTGACTTCATGTAGCAGAGACACATCATTCATCAGGAATGACCACACAGTCTGCCATATTTTATTTCTTAATTACATTTCAGCTTTTGCAAACTTAGATTGTAAGTCAAGAGAAATTTGAAATTATAAACTTTTAGAGCATATAAAAACTACTTTGATTTGTATACAGAATCCATCAGGCCATCTTCTGAATGAATAAAACACACTTAAAACTCCAGAGACCAAAGTACATATCTCTAGATTTTTCTGTGTCTTGAAAACATTAACAATCACAATGTAAAAATTATTTTACTTGTAATTAGGTCACTACTTTTCGATACTTGGATATGAAAGTCAATTAATTTGAATAATAATTTCAACAAAAAGCAGTATGAAACTCAAGTCATTGTATTGTAGGCACCATTATTAAGTTCTGAACTAATTCTCCTTGTAAATCTATTGAGTATGTGCATTATTTCAAATGTTAATTTTGGTTAACTATTGAATCAACTATTGCCTTTGGGGCTATATCTAAAGTTGGATGGATGGAGTTCAGTTACTTTAATTAAAAATATTCAATTAACTGAAACCCAGATGACTGTGAGTCCAGACAACATTGAATTTCTGAGTATTAATTACTAAGTAAATAAATATTAAATGCAGGATGATTGATTTTTCCCCTGGAAACCTGAAGTCAAATACAATTACTCTTTACATTTTCTTTTCAAGTACTTAGTTAAGAAAATACAAAACTTATAAAGAAACTCATTTAAGAATTAAAAGATAAACGAGCAATGGAAGAGGACACTGACTCTGTGTTCAAGTTTTGTTAAATTATAATGCAGTGTTTTCTTCTTAAAATACATTTGTATTCTATTTTAAAAAGATGAAGCAAGTTGGGTGCATATCAAATAGTAACCAACAAAAATAAAGAATATTAAGTGATATGAGAAAATCCTATTTTTGCATGCATTTCTATTATGTCAGAAATATATGATCATAGAAAAAAACTCCAACGAATGGAAAATATAAAAAAGGTCATGGTTTAGGTGATGCCATTCAGTTATAAAAATATTTTTAATAATTTTCAGACTCACTAGAATTTTGTGGTATTTCTGCATCTTCATAATCATGTTCAACCTTCACATCACAGAAACAGTTCACATGACTAAGACATCTGTAATTTCACATAAGCTTGTCTTAACTCTTTGTATGGGTTGGAGAAGTTTTCATACCACTGAGATGTAATATCTCATAACACTCATAAGCATAAAGTTATATAATTGATGCATGAATTTCTCCACCATTGAAACATTATTAAATATTAGAAAAATGTGTCCTTTACCTTTAAAATAAATTAACATACTGAAATACACATTACTTTGGGGTGCTAGTCTTGGTACAAATAGTACAATTTTTAAAAAGGATAGGAGTAGGGTGGTTTGAAGAGAATATCACGATTAAATATTTTTATGGCATGATTTGTAATGGCAAAAGTCACTCTAATATAGAAATAACAGAGGTGAATGATTTAATTTGCAAATTCTTCATTCTGAAAGGGAGAAAAATATATTTTTTGCAACCCTAAAAAGTTCAGATCTGGGACACCTCTGTGACAAAAGATGGATTAACAAGAGAAAAATAACATTTTTATTTTTAACATGTGCTATGCACATTACCTGGAAGAAGCCTCAGTTCAAAAATATCTCTTGAGATGGTGGCTTAGGGTCCTGGCTTCTATAGCAATCTAACAAAGAATAAATTCAGAAGTAGCAACACAAAAGAAAACACAGCTTCATGGTTTCCAAAAGGTAGACAAATAAAGGGAGAGTAGTACCGTTTTCTCCCAGATTCCCCTAGCTTTCAGGCGGAAAGTGGGGAAACAGGCCCCCGTGCTCCTTTTTCACGAGGAAATTTTTGGACTCCCATAGGAAAGAAAGGTCGTTCAGACAGCCCTTTCCTGTAACCACTGTTTCCTCTGTGTCTCTATCTTAATATGTCTTTCAAAGAGGCATATTGGGGGGTAAAATATTGTGGGTTTTTTCAAGTCATGCCATTCTCTGTCCCTAGATGTCCAGTAGTAATTCTTCCCCTATTTGTGAAAACCAAAAAATGCTTCTAGACCTCATCAGATGTCTGGTGTGTGTGTGAATCACCATGTCCCTCTTTCCTAGTTAAGACCTACAGCTTCAGATAACTGTATGTGTAAACACAATCAGACTGGAATTTCTGTGGCCCTGGATGGTCGTGTAACTTTTCAATTCGTTTCAACAAATCTCTTTCTTGAAGGCTTATTATTTTACCTGAGTGTTTTGTTTAAATCTTTAGGTCTCTAAAAGTAAGGACATTTCTTTTCAACTAAAAATGTGTTAGATACAAGGAACCAAATTGTATGTATTTTGAGATATCATGTGAAGAAAATTAGGAGGGTGTTTTTTTCTTGTACTGCTTTATTTTCAAATGTAATATTTCCTGTGAAATGTAATTACATTCTCCATATATTTTAGGTAGGTTACAGACCTTTGAAACTTGAAAAGTTTATCTCATAAAAATAATTCATCTCTTAAACTGTCCTCTTTTTATTCCTATGTACTTTTGCTAGGCTACATTAAGTGGGATTAGTATAATAACTTTTGAATGCAATAATTCAACTCACCATTTGGTATTAGGATCTAAGAATTTCTGTTGGTATACTATGGTAATGTAGACCATCAAATTTAATTTAAAAAGTGGTGCTCAGAAGAATTTTTATTTAGATTTAAAACTAGATCACAAAGCCTATGCTTTGTGCACATGGGAGAAATGAGACCTAGAATTAATCCCTCACCACAAATAAGTAAAACACAGCACAAAATGGAGGGAACCTCACAGGCTTGCTATGCCTGGGAATAATCTCTGAATTATTTTCAGATATATAACCTAACATGCCTGTGATCCCCGAGAGAAAGGAAAGAAAGAGGTGAATGTGGCCCTCCTCTAAGCTCTCTGCAAATAGGCAAGTTCAGTAACATGTTACAGAGAAAAGGAATCCAAATAAAGATTAGAACTGTTACTATGTTGAATAGAGAAGGTCCCAGTTCAGGGAGTTGAAAGTAACTTAATTTGCAGACTACAGAACCCGAGAAGGAAACCTCTCAGAAGCCTCCTAGCACATATGGAAATTACGTTTACATTTTACTATAATCTCTTAGGTGTGCAATAGCCTTATGTCTAAAAAGTGTATGTACTTTAATTGAAAAATGCTGATGATCGTCTGAGCCTTCAGAGAGCCATCATCTTTTGGATGGGGAAGGGTCTTGGCTAGATGTTGATAGCTGCTGACTGATCAGAGTAGGTGCGAAGGTTGGGGTGGCTTTGGCAATTTCTTAAAAGTAAGACAACAGTGAAGTTTGTGCATGAATTGACTCATGAAAAGATTCATGAAAGATTTCTGTGTAGCAAGTATTGCTCTTCGCTAGCATTTTTCCCACCTTAGAACTTCTTTCAACATTGGAGTCAACCCTTTCAAACTCTGATGCTGCTTTATCAACTAAGTTGATGTAATATTCCAAATTATCTGTTGTTATTTCAAATATGTTTACAATATCTTCGCCAGGAGTAGATTCCATCTCAAGAAATCACTTTCTTCGCTCATCCATAAGAAGCAACTCATTCATTCAAGTTTGATTATGACATTGCAGCAATTCATCGCATTTTCAGGCTCCTCTTCTGATTCTGCTTCTCTTATTTCCACCACCTCTGTAGTTATGTCCTCCACTGAAGTCTTGAACTCTTCAAAGTCATACATGAGGGTTGGAATCAACTTCTTCCAAACTTCTGTTAATGCTGATATTTTTATCTCCTCCCATGAGTCTCAAATGTCCTTAATGGCATCTAGGATGAGGAACCCTTTCCAAAAAGGTTTCAATGTACTTTGCCAAATTCCAGCAGAGGAATCATTATCTACAGCAGCTATAGCCTTATGAAATATATTTCTTAAATAATAAGACCTGCAACTCATACTTATTTCTTGATCCATGGGCTGCAAAATGGATTTGTGCAAGCGGGCATGCAAGTAACATTAATCTTCTTGTGCATTTCCGTCAGAGCTCTTGGGTGACCAGGTACATTGTCAATGAGAAATAATATTTTTTAAAAATATATTTGTTTTTACTGAACAGTAGGTGTCAATATTGGGCTTGAAATATTCATTAAACCATGCTGTAAACAGATGTGCTGTCATCCCAGCTTTCTTATTTATAGAGCACAGGCAGAGCAGATTTAGCATTATAGAATTAGATTTATCATTTTCTTCTTAAGGTCCCTGAGATTTTTGAAATGGTACATGAGTATTGACTTCAGCTTATAGTCACCAGCTGCATTTGCCCCTGAGAGAGTCAGCTTGCGCTTTGAGGCTAGGCATTTACTTCTCTTTCCCTATGGAAGTCCTAGATGGCATCCTCTTCCAACAGAAAGCTGTTTCATCTGTATGGAAAAGCTGCTGTTTAATGTAGCAACCTTCATCAATATTATAGCTAGATCTTCCGGATAACTTGCTGCAGTTACCAGTACCTGCTGCTTCAGGTTGCACTGTTATGTCATGAAGGTGGCTCTTTTTCTTAAACCTTGTGAATAATGTCTACTAGCTTCAACCATCTCTTTTCCAGCTTCTTCACCCTTCTCAGCCTTCATAGAACTGAAGAGAGTTAGGGTCTTGCTCTGAATTAGCCATTGGCTTAAGGGAATATCATAGCTGGTTTGATCTTCTATTCTGACCATTCACACTTTCTCCGTAACAGCAACAAAGCTGTTTCCTTCAGCCTATCTCAGCTTCTGACGTGCCTTCTCACTAAGATTAATTATGTCTAGCTTTTAAACTGTGATATATGGGAATTTTTCTGTTGCTTGAGCACTTAGATGCTATCTTAGGGGTTATTCATTAGCCTAATTTTAATACTGCTGTGTCTCAGGGACTAGGGAGGCCTGAGGAGATGGAGAGAGACAGGAGAATGGCTCACCAGTAGAGCCATCAGAACACACACCACATTCATTGGTTAAGTTCATTGTCTTAGATACCACACATTGCTTGTTGGGAAGATGGTGACAATGAGTTTTGCTGCTGGTGTGCTTTGACCAGGGTTGGGGGATGTAGTAAGAGAACCAGATTTTAGTGTTAGTCATGCCAATATCTAACCAGAACGAGACATAATGATCAGAACAGGGACACTCGATGAGATCGCATAGAAGAGTCTTTACAAGTAGGAATCCATTCAGCAGAACCTGATTATATTTGAACATTTTAAAGACAGTTCACATTTTAAGAAAGTATAAGTTCATAGTATGGGACAGCTTTATTGTTGTAGGAAGAGATATTACTCTTATGTACACTGAAAATACTTATAAATTGCAAAATTTGGTTGGTCCTTGTGCTGCATTCTGAAATGCCATAAATTCCCTTAGTCATTTCATATTCTTTCTTTCTAGTCTCAATGGTTTCAGTATGGTTAGCAAAATCTGCATATTTTATAAACACTCCAAACATACTCCTGCCTTTGTGCTTATATTACCATCTGCCTACAATACTCTGTCCCCAGGGCTAACTCCTTCATCAAAGTCACTCTCCTGCTTAAACAGCTTGTCATTAAAGAAGGTGTCCATGATTATTACATTTAAAATCACCTGTCCTCAACTAACTCTACTTTCCTTTATTTTTATCTTACTTTTTTGGATAGCATTTATTACTGCCTGGCAAGTGATGCGTTATTTTATGTAAGTCATGTATATGATAAATGTTTTATGTCACATATTATATTGAAGTACTTGGTTATTTGTGCCTTCATCCATGGGGAGTATGAAGTTTGTTTTGTTCATTGAGGTATCTTTACTGCCTGAAATGAGACCTGGGCTATCAAATGTATTCAATGGAAATATGTTTTGCAAATTAATATAAAGAATACTCAACTTTATAAACATGTTTGATATAGTTTCCCTTGCATTACACAAAAGTCTTCCAATTATTAGTCCCTAACTCAGAATTTCTATACAGATAGATAAGTCTGAAAAACAATGTTTAGCCTAATAAGTTAAGACTCATTGTGACTTTTCTATGTCATCACTGATGAAGACAATTATGCTAATTATCCTTAGTACTGCACCTTATATTAAACTTTGAGTACCATCTAAAATAAATTCTGTATTGAACACTAAAATCATATTTTCACTATGTTAGTCTTAAATGTTATTATTCCCTAAGTTTCTGTACTTGTCACTCACCTTTTTTGTAGACTCTCATCGTGTGTGTGTGTATTGGGGGGGTGGCTTTAACCTCCACATGCTTAAATCTTTCTTTCTTGTCTAGAATTGTCTCATAAACTCCAGATGCCCAAGACTAATTGCCTCCTCTTATAACTGATAAATTAACTTAAACTTAGGCTGAGATTGTCTCTTACCTTGTAGTTATAAGTAGCAAGCTGCAATCTAACTTAGTATGTAAACCAAAACCTAATAGCAAATTTCAGCCAATCATAAGTAGCCATGTTTCAGACAGTCAAAGACAGCCAACTCATATCATGCCCAAATAAGACACATTTAGCTGTAGTCAGTCAAGCGATTTCTCTACTTTGCTTGTTTTCAGACTATACATACTGGCTATGGGTGGAGCTTTCTGAACCTCCGCTGATCCTAGGGGCTACTGATTTATGAATTAATTGTTCTCTACTCACATAAGTTCCACTAAATTTAATTTGTCAAAAGTTTTTTTCTAATAAAAGATAATTTCTGTGAATTTATAATTACTTCTAGCCTTCTATGATCCTTATTTCATGCAACAACTACCTATCTAGTTTTTCAAGTAAGACACTCAGAAGAAACTGTAATATTGGCAGATATTTCTCATAGATACATATAATCTCAGTCTTATTAACTCCTTTCTTCTTCCTAGTCTCATAAATCCACTTCTTTATTTTTATGTATATGGCTTTAAATCAGCCTTTTACCACCTTCAAATATATTCAGTCAAACTCCTCTAGTCAAAAGTTTGTATTACTTATCCCTAACCTTTCAAAGTTCTATTAATGCAAACACAGCTCTTCACTATCTTGGCCCCTGTTTTCCAGCATAATTTGACATCTGTGAGCTTCTCCTTGGCAGAGACTTGGGCTTATTCATCTCTGTCACCCTAGCACCTAGGATAGTGTCTGATAAATAACAGCTATTAGGAAAGAGAACAGTGGATGAATAATATGTAAACAAATGAATGGATTTTAATAGGACAGTCCAAACATATCTGATTCTTTTCTGGCAGTGTTTATTGGCACCTATTTTGGAAAGAATCAACAAGCCCTCAAGTAAACAAATAATAAGCTTCACCTAATTCATATTTTAATAAGAATTTACTGTATAAACAGATTATCATAGATAATTCTGACATTTTATAAACCTGATTATCATATTATATTAGATAAAATTAGCACATTTTCTTCAGTAACAAAACTTATGGAAGTATCTTCCGTGCATAAACTTAGAAAAGTGTTTGAATTTAATACCTTAGCTGCTTCATATGTCTGACCACTCATTTGTAACCATCAAATAAACACTTCTGAAATCCAGCCTCCTATTTAACTTCATGGTATCTGCATCCCAAAAGATTATGAAAGTGATTATTTTGTTTGGAAGAAAAGAATTACATCCTTTTGGATGATTGTCATCAGTCTCTTGAAGTCATTTAATATGGTGACTCAAAGGCATGTAACATGTAGTCATTCTACTTTATGGGCCAATATAGATTTGATTCATTCATTATTCATCTGAATTTAGTGAGTGCTTATTGGATTTGATGAAATCTGAGGATTTAGAGATGAGTAAGAAACAATTGCTTTGTTAAACACTGGGCTTCAGAGCAAGATGAGAGTCTTGCAAATCCTATTGACCAAAAGGTAACTGTGGTCATAGATGTTATGGGAAGAATGTATACAACAGGCTCCTTTTAGAAATTCATGGTCTTCATTGACACATTAAAGTTCTGATAAGTTATAGTATTAAGAGACCAGTTTGGCTTAGTTTGACTCAGTCCTTCTGATATTTATTTAATAACATATATTTTATAAGGAATTTTTAATCTATTTTCTTAAGTTTTTACATTCTATAGTGTTAGCACTGTATTAGTAATATGAGATGATACACTTTAAGTTACTTTATAATAACAAACTGTATGAATTTGTTGGTGGCAAATAAGAAGTAACACATGTGGAATGGTCAAAAATAATTTATCTCTGAATCCACTGGAATATCTGCTGTTTTCCCATAATACCGTAAGTGAACAAGATCAATATGTACACTACATATTTTAGCAGAAACAAGCAAAAGACCCAGTCTTTGTGTTATGAATGATTTTTATTAGGATGAATACATTGGATTTATTTTAACATTCTAAGATTTATTTTAACATTCTAATGGATTCGATATTAGATGAGTAGAAAAGCCTCACTCTAAGAGGTGCAAAATGCAGAGAGTGATGGATGTCTTTAGCTCTGAAGCTAGAGCAATGATTTACATGCCATTTTCTGAATATTAAGAAGTAAAATATTAGTTTTACTTTTTATGTTCGAGGTTTATGCCTTCTATAGTTAATACTCTTTTCATGCTGTTCATTTGAGAAAGGAGCAATTGTTATGAATATCGCAAATCTGCATTTCAAATGCATAGTGTATATGAGATATATGGGTTACACCAGAATATAGAATATTGATTTTCGCTATAACACATTTTTTTAGTTGCTTATAACTTTCTAAAAAAAAACCACCCAGTTCAAAGAAATCCGTGTTTGACTTCAGTATGTTCTTTTTTAAAAGAAATGTATGACTTGTATAATTCAAAGCCAATGGTAAATTTAAACTTTCAAATCCTAGGAAGATGCTATACACGTTTCATTATGTATTATGGAAATTCTATTTTATTCAGAACTGTACTACCTCTCAACAGTATACGTGAACTTAAAAAAAGATGTGGTATCCTCATCAAATAATATTTAGGCACATCAATTTTTCATGTATCCATATATCCTTAGAAATGTCTTTAAATGTCCTCAGAATAGTATTTATAAGTATATATTTTATATTTTTGTATGTATACTTCAAACCAGTTGACTGAAGTTTAACTTAGTTCAGAGAGCCTAAACATGAGCATTTTTTCCTTTTTAAAATTTTACAAGAAAATAATTTTTAGAATGCTTATTCAGTTATGGTTATTGAGCTATCTGGTTTCTCTTATAACGTTCACAAGTTTTGCTCCATTTATTATTTAAAGAAAAAAATTGAGATTATTTTTAGATAAGTGAAAAGTGCAGATAAGTGATAAATACTGTGTAATTCACTAATATAGAAATGACAATGTTATTTTGTAAATCATAAGTTGTTTGAATATCAATGTCTATGTAACCATTTACCTATGTGTGTGTTGCTCCAAATAATTATAAAAAAGGGATAATATCATTCACAAAACTTTTAATAGAGTATGTGTAGGTGTCTCTGTATGGTGGTATGTTATTCTAGGAGTCATTGGAGGTGGAGTCTTTCACTGCACAAATGCTACATAATGTATTTTGATGTCTTGATTATCTTTAAATGTTACCTCCTCTCCTCTTCCCCTTTCTTTCAATATTCCCACCTCCCTGTCTTATTTCAATTACAAATGAAAGAGACTCAACTGCAAAAAGAAATTAATTAGAAAATTTTCAAGAGAATCCAATGTTATCTTTGTAAGCTTGGGGTAAAATGTGATGAAGAGTATCATAAGCATACAAACTAACTTTTTCTTTTATAAGATGGATCTACATTATTTATTCAAATCATCTCCCCTCTCAGTCCAGAGAAGTATACTGCTTAAAAAATATTTTTTAAAAACCCAACAATTTAACATAAGTTATGACCAGAGGTATAAAGGGTTTGGAACTCAAAGATACTATAAATAGATCCCATTGGTGGCCACAGGTCACTCATCTATGTGACTGTGTAACACACTGGCTCTGTGCTTTCTCAACTGCTCCGGCAAAAGATGACTATTGAGTTAAATAGAGGTTTTCCAATAAAAGCATATTCTTCTTAAATCATGGAAATATTTCACCTCAACTATTAGAAACTAAAATAAAATGTCCTAGAATCAATAGAACGGATTTTTCTGAGTCCTTGATCTTTCTTGACTTTCCTGAAAGAGAGACCACTCTCACTAAATTATATATGTAGAATTATATACACACACACACACTTTTTTTTCAAAAGAAATGCGTGCACATTAAAAGAAAGGCCAGAGAGCTCAATACCCTTAACCAAATAAGCATTTAAAAATTATTTTCATGTAAAATTTTAAAAAGAAAAAAACTCAAAAATTTTTCTATAATTTTTATAGATATAAAATTATCAATATAAATATACAAATTATATATATTTTATATATAGAATTTTATGTATATTTATAAATACATAAAATCATAGAGAAAATTATAAAATTCTCCAGTATATGTATATAATTTATACAACTATATATTAAATATAGAATTCTCTATATAGAGAATATATATATTTATATAGAGAATTCTAATTATATATAATTATATATAATATGTAGAGAAAATTCTCTATAATTACAGAGATAATAATAGAAAATTTTATTGAGATTATATAACATATATAATGACACATATAATTTAGTGAGATTGTTTTTTACTGAGTCAGAATTTTCTATCTTCTTTTAGATTCTCAAACAGTTCTAGCACAGAATAAATATTAGGATCCACAACAATAAAAGGAAACCCCATCCGGCCTGTTGGGCAAATCACATGCTATAGCTTTAAGTGGAGACACAGAGTAAAAGTCAACGCTGATAAAATGCAAGGAAGAAGTCTAAGGCTGACTTTGAGCTAGCTCTGTATTTTCCTACGAGAAGTGTGTTTTATTTGCAGTCATTTATAACAAGTGTTTGTTTCATGAATCTAATTGCTTTTTGTTTTCCAAGAAACAACTCTTACGGATCATGTTACTTCATAAGTTTGACCTGCCTTATGTTACTTGAAGAATGTTCGTGGGATATTCATATTTCCTACTTTTGCAAGATTTTTTACTTGTTCTTCTTCTTCTCTTATCTATATATACTACATTTGTCATTGGAAACTTTCTCTTCTAAAACCCTTGCTAATCACAGAAACCTTTTGTTTTTCTGACATCCTTGGAAAAATTAGTCTGAAGACTTATACTGGAAACATTAACTGTAATCTTTCTTTTTTAAACATTGTTGCGCTGTCTCCTATCTTCCTCCAGTATATGGAACTTCACTCATTTTATTATTAGTGAGACTATTGTCATTATGGACATCAAATAACTCTTGTCACTAACTCAGATCCTACTGAGGCACTTAGAGCTATTTGTCTGTCCATTAAATGGCTTCAGAAAGCAGATTTCTCGTGCCTTTGTTGGGTATTTTACCTGCATCATTTCTTGCAGTTGGTTTGTTACTGCTTGCTGTTATCAAAACTTTTCTGGCAGCTAAGCTGCTCTGAGCTTGGGACATGATCTCAGGAAGAAATTTGCATTGCATAACATAATATCAATAGGTATAAAATAAAAACAGGTGGGTCTCACTGTAAGTAAAATGCATGAAATTTATTAAATATGGAGACAACTGTGTGGTAAAATCATAGTATAACTTTGGTGCTAAACTTCTGAATATGATTTCATATTCCGTCATAGGCTAATATCTTTCAGAAGATTTTTTTTCACATTTGAAGTAGTGCGTCACGTTTATGTAAAAATGTAAAACCTATAAAATACCTATTTTTGTACATGAACAGAGCATACATTAAAATATAAAATTAAAGATGGTAAGGAATATACCACTCTTCTGATAATAATCACCTTTGAATGGAGAGGAGAGATGGGCCTCAAATTTATCTGTAAAACTTTTAAAAGTAAAACAATAAATAGATAAGCATAGAGAAAAATCTCGACAAAAATGTAGACTCCAACTCTGAGAAAGAGTACGTATTTCTTGTAGTACTCCTCCACATTCATTTTTTCAAGATTTTATTTTTCATCAAACATAAAAATAAATGTAACTATGAGTCAAATACTTACAAAAATCATATAAACAAAAATTGATTTTAAAGGGATCCTGTTTTAACTATGTCAGTTGGTATGTGTACCATGTATATATTTATATTTTTAGAACATTATATTATGATTGATGTTTGTTTCAATAATACCTAGTGTACAGGTATCATTAATTGACTTTCTACAGTGGGAACGATGGGTTCAACTTCCTTAGAGCTTTTCCCCTCAGCCCTGCCTGTAAACACAGCCACACACATTTCTCTTAATCCCATCTTTTTAATATTTAGCAATAATTTTTGTGAAAACAATTCACTATTTTTATTATTATGATTATGTAAACATTCACAGGTGAATCACAAAATATACCATATTTCATTTATTTTACAAGTTTTCTTGTTTGAGTAGTATATAATTATCTCTCTTCTCTCTGGCTGTGCATGCATTTGTGTGTGTTTTTAACTTGTTTGCTTGAAAAGTAACTATCCTTGATTTTTTCAAATGCTTGTATTTTCTCTCAGCTTAATATTCTGAAGTCATTGTATTCCTAGAATCTTGTATAATTCAATTTCAATTTGGACCAGCTGTTCTCTAGGTCCGCTGAACTTTTGTCATCAAATTTTCTTTCACTAAATCTTGTAGATTACTTCTATTCTGCCACAGAACCCTTAGATCCTCAAGCCTATAATTTACTCCTTTCCAGCTTTCTGATATGTCTTGGAGAAGCACCCCTCTCAATAATTTACCCAAAGAAGAAAATAATTAATTTAAAAATCCTTACTGAGACCAAACTTCTGCATAATAAACAAAAGACAGATTATAACTTTTTTGGTTATTGTCCTGATGCTCTACCAGTTAATCATGAAATGTGTGTTTAACTTCTTTCTGTGTTAGCATGCATATGGTTTAAATTTTCATAATTAGCAGAACCCACTTTGCCAGGGAATTGTTTACAGTAAGATATTACATGCAAAATCTTAGAATAGTGCCTGCCACAGAAGAGTTCAGAAAGTATTAGCCATTAAAGTTAGTGATAATATCTATTGAAATGTATTCGTGAGATCTTCATTTTATATTAGATATTGAAATTTGATATTGGACTTTTAAAACTTTCTGAATTCAAATTTTTAACAGCTTCATTAAGGTAATATTCACACACCATACAACTCACTCATTTAAAATGTACATTGTAATTAAGTGTAGTCACAGATATTTGCATCCATCTGCACAGTCAATTTTAGAACATTTTATCACCTCAGAAAGAAACCCATTACCTTTTAGCTACTTCCCCAATCCCTGGTCCTCCCAGCCCTAGACAACTACAAACCCATTTTTCTCTGTATAGACATTTAGTATGTACAGAATCATTCTAATATGTGTTTTTTGGTTTTTTTGTGTGTGTGTCTGTGTGACTGGCTTCTTTCACCTAATATAATGTTATCAGGGTTCTTCCATATTGTAGCATGTATCAGTATTTCATTCCTTTTTATCATAGAATAATGTTCCATTGTTTGGATATAATACATTGTCTTTATCCATTTGACACTTGAGAATGCAAGGTGTTTCTATCTTTTGGCTATTACAAATAATGTTGCTGTGAACATTGGCATGTAAGTTTTGTGTAGAGTTATGCTTTTATTGGTCTTGGTTATAGACATAGGATTGGTCTTGCTGGGTCACAAGGTAGCTCTACGTTTAACCTTTGAGGAACTGGTAGACTGTATTCCCACCAGCAGTATGTGTGGGTTCTGTCTCCATATCTTCGGCAACACTTATTATCTGATTTCTGCTTCTAGCCATGCTAGTGCATGTTCAGGGCTATCTCATTATGGTTTTGGTTGATTCGCATGTGTCTAATGACGATGTCATACAGCTTTGCATGTGCTTATTGGCAACTTGTGTATGTTTTTGAAGAAATGTCTATTCATCCCAGAGGTTTTCATAGGTTGTGTCACTATCATCATTCAGTTCGAAGAATTTTTTTTTTAATTTCCATCTTGATTTCATTTTTGACCCAATGATCATTCAGGAGCAGATTATTTAATTTTCAGATATTTGCATGATTTTGAAGGTTCCTTTTGGAGTTGATTTCCAGTTTTATTTCACTGTGGTCTGATTGAGTGCTTGATAATAAATTCAAGAAAATTTAAATTATGAGGCCGATTTTGTGGCTGACAATGTGTTCTGTTTTGGAAAAAATTCCATGTGCTGTTGAATAGAATGTACATTCTGCAGTTGTTGCAAAGAATGTTCTATATATATATCTGTTAATATAGTTTAAATCCACTGTTTATTGACTTCATCTTGATGACCTGTCTAGTGCTGTCAGTGGAGTATTGAAGTCCCCCACTATTATATTGCTGTCTATCTGATTTGTTAGCACTTTGGGAGCTCCAGGGTTAGGTGGATATGTGTTAGGATTGTGTTATTTTCCTGTTGGATAAGGACTTTTTTTTTTTTTATTATTAATGTCGCTGTCTTTTTTAACTGCTGTTGCTTTAAAGTTTGTTTTGTCTGACATAAGAATACCTACTTCTGCTTGCTTTTGGTGTCCATTTGCATGAAATGTTTTTTTCCACCCCTTTACCTTGAGTTTATGTGAGTCCTTATGTTTTAGGTGAGTATCTTGAATTACGTTGAATTGATGTGAGTCCTTAAGTTTTAGGTGAGTATCTTGAAGGCAGCAGATAGTTGGTTGGTGAATTAATAACCATTCTGAAATTCTCTTTTAAGTGGAGCATCTAGGCTGTTTACGTTCAATATTAGTATTGAGATGAGAGGTATCATGCCATTCATTGGGCTGTTTGTTGCCTGTATACCTTGTTTTTTGTTTGTTTGTTTGTTTTTTAAATTGTATTTTTGTTTTAGAGGTCCTGTGAGATTTATGGTTTAAAGAGGTTATGTTTTAATGTGTTTCTGGGATTTGTTTCAAGATATAGAGCTCTAACAGGAAGATTCATAGCCCTAAACAACTATATCAAAAAGTCTGAAAGAGCACAAACACACAATCTAAGGCCAGACTTCAAGGAACTAGAGAAACAAGAACAAACCAAACCCAGAAGAAAGGATATAACCAAGATCAGAGTGCAACTAAATAAAAAAAAAAAAAACAAACAAAGAATAACACAAGAGATAAATGAAACAAAACATTGGTTCTTTCAAAAGATAAATAAAATTTATAGACCATTAGGAAGATTAACCAAGAAGAGAGGAAAGAAAATCCAAATAAGCTCAATAATAAATGAAATGGGAGATGTAAAGAAATCAGTAGCTCTTCTACACACCAACAGCGACCAAGCTGAGAATCAAATCAATAACTCAACCCCTTTAAAATAGCTGTGAAACAAACAAAAATTTGTAATATACCTAACCAAGGAGGTGAAAGACCTTTAAAAGGAAAACTACAAAACACTACAGGGGTCCGTCCCACAGACCCTGACCCAACAACAGATGAATAACGTACACTGACACAGATATTCTGCCTGTCAGTCTGGCTAAGGGTCTGGGCCCCTCACAGACGCTAAGGAAAGTGTGTAAAGAGTAGCAGCCACCGCCCTGATCAGCCAGTGAAGCTCGCATTTATTCATTACAGATTAAAGGTCTTCAGTAAACACTACTAGAGGGTAATTGACCTAGCTGCCAATTACCCATCCCCACTCCTGGTAGAAAGCAATTACGCAACCACAGTTGATCAAAGCTTGGTCTTAAGACCACATGAGTAAACAAAGTATTTAGATAAACTACTGTACATTCCTTTGTACCTACTTGGAGCTATTTAGTCAAGGTAAGGATTAGACTGCTTTCACCCATAACCCTATCCTGAGACTTTTGTAAAACCTTCCAGCCTTCCAAGAAGATTTCTCTCTATATCCTATAACTCCATCTTAAAATTTTTCCCACCAGCCTGACTGAACTCCCACATCTCCCCCTTTTCTGTTTTATTGCCTTGGGTTCTGTTGACTGAAGCATACAGATGTGTGTAGCAACAGGTCTGTGGGGCAAGGCGGTCATTGCTCTTATTGCGACTTTGCATCCTAGAAATAGCAAATAACATAAGACAATCTTGAGTATAATTAGCAACATTCTTTTCCAGTCAAAGAGTGACCCCCAGAAGCAGAGGTATAACCAGGAAAGATGATCTCACACACCCTTCCGTATGGCTGTTTGTTGGGTGTATAGATCTGTAGTGGGAAGGGATTCTAAAATTTTAGTTTTAAGTTGCTTTACATCTGCTGTTGACTTGTCATGAAAGGTTCCCCAGAGGTGTTGTTTCACCTCATCCCAATTATGTATTGATTGATTCCATGGAAGAGAAGTGACACAGATATGTTTATGCTCCCAGTCGTAGTTTAATTGCTATCAGAATGCCAGGGCATCTTGTGACTCCCCCACATATTCCAAGCCAGCCTCGAGGGCTTGCAGACATGTAAGTATCTTTTGATCTATACCCTGCTGTAAGAGAAGTTCGTTAGACACATTTCGGGCTAAATTATCTACAATAGCAGCTGTTTGTACTGATTCAGTAATAGATGGTATAGCCACACTAGCACTTGCTGGGATGACTATGGCTAAGATTATAAAGGCTATAAGTGCATCTATGAATCTTTTGGGTCTGACCTGGGTTAGGGCATGTTCTAAGAAGGCAAAGGCAGAGAAACCTCGCCAATTGCATGTCAAATTGACTGGTAATAATGCCTCAGATTGTCTCAATACCATGACACTAGCAATAATTAGACATATTGTCATGAGGGAAACCAAGCCTCTCCCTGCACCTGGGTCAGCAACACAGTTTTGAGGTGTAATGGAAATAACAGTTCCCATAAGGAAAACATATGGATGGGGAGTGCAAATTAGGGACTGAACAGTGTGATTATGAATAAACGTTATCGTATAGTTGTGACTGGAATCATGATATGTCCCATGCTGAGATGCTGAGATGCCCCAGGTACCATGAAGTGTCTTGGGCTGGCATGGACTTTACTTGGGGTCTGGGGTATCTCATCCCCTCATCAGCCCAAATCATAGGGGAATATGATGAGGCTATGAAACTGGGATTGATGACATTATGGATGAGGACATCAGTAAGTTGGCCCTGCAAACGGCCACAGGGGCTCCAGTCTAAGATGTTATAATTGCCTAACTGGAGGCTATGGGCTTGTTCCCCATGACAGACCTCCCAGCTAAAGTGCAATCCATTACTTTCCCAGCTTTGTTCTTTAGCACAGGAAGCAATGTTTGGAAAAGCAGCACTGATTGCATTACCTGGTTTGAGGCTACCTGCAACTAAGACTTTTAAGGCTTTTTTTTTTTTTTTTTTTTTTTTTTTGCCATAATACAGCCTTAATTGTGTTTGGGCAGATACACAATAAGGATTCGAACCTTTATAACTTACACAGCGAGAGGATAGTGGAGTGACAGGTAGTGTTATCTGGCACCTTAGTCTAATGTGTGCCATGATTGAGGGACCCCACTGGGGGCAAATCTATCCCTCCTAGCCAAGGAGTCACATTATTAAAGGCTGAGCAGGGGGTGTCTGCCCAGGTGACAGGGTAAAAGAAAAATATGAGCCCAATAGAGTGTAGCAGGTACAGGTTGCAGACAAAGTGAAAACACAGAAAGGATCAATATCCTAGGTGAGTTGCAATGTACAACAGAAACCATAGCAAGGAGTAAATTATCTGGAGTGAACAGTGTCTGTGTCTGGAGCAGGATTCCTTCAGCATCCCCAGGTAACATCCAGAGCTTATGTCGACCGTGGAAGCCACATCGTCCGGGGCTGTGGGTCCTGCAGGGTCAGTTCCTAGCCATGCCATGGTATGGGTTGATGCATTGGGCTAGAATCCAAAGAGGACCTGAGGGGGTGTGGACACAAGCATACCCTCTTCCCCGTGTTAATTCATTTGGACCATACCATACATTACTGTTTACATCTTTCCATAAAACTGCAGGTTTTATGTCTTGAGAAGTTTTAACAAAGTGCTTTTCTATAGGTGATTGAAATTTGTCATCTAAATTTAGAAAATTAAGGGTAAATAAGGCTTGTCCCAATAGTGTTGCAGGGTCTTTACCCATACTCCTCCTTTTTTGAGCATTTTTTTAAGGGTGGAGTAGACACGTTTTACTATGCCTTGTCCTTGGGGGTTATATGGCATACCAATGGAATGTTAGATGTTTCATGTATGACAGAATTGTTGAAATTGTGAGCTGGCATAAGCTGGACCATTACCAGTTTTAACTTTTGCATTTATGGGATGGCCCACAAAAATTAGAAGATGTTTAATGACATATCGAGTGGACTCTCCAGGAAGGGCGTGTGCACTAATTAGATGAATGTTGGTATCAATTGATACATATACATATCTTAGTTTTCTAAATTCAGGGATGTGTGTAACATCTGTTTGCCATAATTGTTTAGGTTCACCTGTTGAAGGAAGGGATGTGCCTGTGAGCTGGCAATCTGGGCATTGCAGGATAATTTGTTTAGCTAGTCTTTGAGTAAGTTGAAATTGTTCAGTAAGTTTCTCTAGTTTCGGTGAAGAATTGATGTGATTCAGTGGCTTGGTCAAGCAGTGATGTCATAACTTGGAGGTCTGCTTGATTATTGCCATAAGCCAAAGGGCCAGGCAGTGAGCTGGGGGCTGAAGTGTGCGTAATAAAAATAGGATGTGCATGTTGATCTAGCAGTTGCTGAAGTCAGAGAAAAAGAGCACACAGGGCAGGCTCCAGAGTGGACTTAATTCGGGTTGTCTCAAGGTTCTGCAATAAATAAACAGAGTAAGCAGAGTCACTCACAATATTGATGGGCTGACTGGAACATTTCCAATGCCAATATCAGGGCCCCAATCTCCGCTCTCCGAGTGCTAGTAAACCCAGATCAAGTGATTGAATTACCTGGTCTCCACCAGACTGCCACTTTTCCATGTTTACCTGAACCATCAGTAAACAGTGTTAAAGCATTAGATATGGGGAAGTGAGCTATTTTTGTAGGCAAGATTACAGGAGTACAAGATAAGAAATGAAGGAGTTTATCAGCAGGAAGGACATGCTCTATTTGTCCGATGTGATCAGAGAGTGCTATTTGCAAATCTATAGATACTGGCAATACTGCTTTGAATTGCTTTTTACTTAAAGGAATCCTAATATTAGAATATAACCTAGCAACAGAGTGCATCGTTTGTGACCTGAATGGATGACTTTCCTAAGGAACTGGATATAGGGAGACAGTGTTTTAGTTCCGGTATGTGAGCAAAAAAACCCATTCTAGTAAGCGTAGCCCTGAGGTGATCTGTCCTATTAACACTGAAAGGGAGTGTTTGGTGGCAAAAATAAACAGATGACTTGAGTAGCCTGGATCTATGCTATCTTGTTGCCTTAGAGAGATAGCTTGTTCTATTTCCTCGATTTCCCTTTTTGCTGCTGGGGTTAAATGTTTGGGAGAATCTAGGGTTTTATTGCCCTTTAAGATAGAAAACAGATTTTGCAGCTTAGTAGAATTTGTAATTTCTCTCCCTTTAAAGGTTACTGCTTTACTTAAATTGGATTTGGAGAGAGCTAACAGCTGTGGCCATTATCAGAAATAGGTCTTTCAAATTTTTAAAGTTTACTTAAATCTTAGCAGAGAATTATAATCTGGAATGTTCTTGTATACAAAGAACACATGAAATTTTGCCATGGGTTGCCTGCGGAGATGGAGAGCTGAGCAGGCAGGTCCCGGGGCAGCAGCTGTGTTGCACTTGCTTAAGCGCTGCTGCTTTTTGTCTGCGCCGCTTTTCACCTGTGCCACTCCCTCACCCTTCCTCCAGAGGGCTGCTGCTGGCCAGGTGGACCTTCCTGCGCATGCCTCCTGCATCTCCCCAGAAGGCTAGCTCCAGTGCACTGGGCCTGGCTTCCCATCCCCACTGCCACTTCGCAGGTAGAACTCACCAGTTCTAGGTTTGTGAGCTTTCCCACCGCCGAGCATTCCTTTTTGCCTACTGGTCACTTGGCCGCAAGGCTCCTGCCTCTAATGGTTTTTTTTTTTTTTTTTTTAATCTTTTTATAAGAGTTAAAATACTGGGTCCATATGCCCAGTTGCCTTGTTGATCTTGCATTACCTAGCAAGCTAAGAGCTCCCCTTTTAATGCTGCTTTCTTAAGACAGGGTCTTATAGCTGGAGCATATCTTTTTTCCTATTTATTGGAGAAAGGGGTTCAGGCAAAAACTCCGTTTCCTCTTTGTTATTTTGACCCGGTGATAGTAGGGCTGAGGGACTTGGGTGTAGTAAAGTAGGTGACAGTTCTTCCTCCTTCCCCTTTTTAGGTTCTTCTGTGTATAATGGAGCCAGGGCCACTCTAAATAAGGCCCATAGGGTTAGGGCTGTTATTGGGACCCGTTGCCCTTGTGGATAATGTTGTTTAAGATTTCTCCCCACTTGTTCACAGAGCTTTATGTTTAACATACCTTCTTTCAGGACCCATGGATTATGGTTTACAACAGTTCGCATTAGATCCCTTATATGAGCCTGCAAAACTGAGGCTCCACGAGCCTTAGGCAGCTGTTTCAATACTTTTATATACTGTTTCTGTTGAGCTAATAGCTGTTGTCCCATGATGAAACTTTAGCCTAAACACTCCCCTCCAAAACTTGGAAACCCCAAGTGGGCAACAATGACTCACTGACCACACAGTCCTTTTCACCTGCATTTTCAAAGGGTCCATCATGCTCCCTTTGCAGCATGCCTCACATGGGGCACCAGCTGCGGGGTCTGTCCTGCAGAGCCGTGACCCAATGGCAGATGAATAACATACACTGACCCAGATATTCTGTCAGTCTGGCTAGGGATCTGGGCCCCTCACAGACACTAAAGAAGGTGCTATAAAGAGTAGCACCCATGGCCCTGATCAGCCAGCAAAGCTTGCATTTATTCAGTACAGGTTAAATGACAAAGATCTTGAGTAAACACCACTGGAGGGTAACTGACCTGGTTTCCGACCCCCTGAGTAGAGAGCAATTGTGCACTCACTGTTGATCAACGGTTGGTCTTAGGACCACATGAGTAAACCAGCTATTTAGATAAACTACTGTACATTCCATTGTACCCACTTTAAGCTATTTATTCAAGGTAAGGATTAGACTGCTTTCACCCATAACCCTATCCTGAGATTTTGCAGAACCTTCTGACCTTCCAAGAAGATTTCTGTCTATATCTCATAACTCCATCTTAAAATTTTTCCCACCAGCCTGACTGAACTTCCACAAAACACTGCTGTAGGAAATGATAGACGACACAAATGAAAACATATCCCATGTTCATGGATGGGTAGAATCAATATTGTAAAAATGACCATACTGCCAAAAACATTCTACAAATTCAACCCAATTCCCATCAAAATACAAGCATCATTCTTCACAGAATTAGAAAAAAAAAAACAATTATAAAATTCACATGGGACCAAAAAGAGCACACAGAGCCAAAGTGTTAGTAAGCAAAAAGAAAATATCTGGAGGAAATCACATTACCTGATTTCAAACTATACTATAAGGCTATAGTCACCAAAACAGCATGGTACTGGTATAAAAATAGGTACATAGACGAATGGAACAGAATAGAGAACCCAGAAATAAGCCCAAATACTTACAGCCAACTGATCTTCAACAAAGCAAACAAAAACAAGGTGGGAAAAGGACTCACTTTTCAACAAATGGTGCTGGGATAACAGGCTAGCCACATGTAGGAGAGTGAAACTGGATCCTTATCTCTCACCTTATACAAAAATGAACTCAAGATGGATTAAGGACTAAAATCTAAGACCTGAAACTACAAAAATTCTAGAAGATAACACTGGAAAAACCCTTAAGTCATTGGCTTAGGCAAAGATTTCATGACCAAGTACCCAAAAGCAAGTGCAATAAAATGAAGATTAGTAGCTGGGATTTAAAGAGCTTTTGCATGGCAAAAGGACCAATCAGAGTAAACAGGCAACCCACAGAATGGGAGAAAATGTTCACAATGTGTACATCTGACAAAGGACAAATATCCAGAATCTACAACAAACTCAAATCAGCAAGGAAAAAATAAATCACATCTAAAAGTGGGCTAAGGACATGAATAGACACTTCTCAAAAGAAGATATACATATGGCCAACAAACATGAAAAAATGCTGAACACCACTAATGAACAGGGAAATGCAAATTAAAACCACAGTGCTATAACTACCTTACTCCTGCAAGAATGGCCCAAATCAAAAAAAAGTAGATGTTGGCATGGATGCAGTGAATACGAAACACTTCCACACTGCTGGTGGGAATGTTAACTAGTACAACCACTATGGACAGACTCCTTAAAGAACGAAAACTAGAACTACCATTTGATCCAGCAATCCCACTACTGGGTATCTACCCAGAGGAAAAGAAGTCATTATACGAAAAAGATACTTACACTCGCATATTTATAGCAGCATGATTTGCAATTGCAAAAATGTGGAACCAACCCAAATGTCCATCAGTCAACAAATGGATAAAGAAACTGTGCTATATATATATATATGATGGAGTACCACTCAGCCATAAAAAGGAATTGATTATTGGCATTCACAGTGACCTAGATGAGATCAGAAACTATTATTCTAAGTGAAGTAACTCAGAAATGGGAACACAGATGTTGTATGTTCTCACTCATAAGTGGGAGCTAAGCTCTGAAGATGCAAATGCATAAGGAAGAAACAGTGGACTTTGGGTACTCAGAGGGAAAAGGTACGAAGGATGTGAGGGATAAAAGACTATAAATAGGGTGCAGCATATCCTATTAATAGGGTGATGTGTACATCGCATTCTCACAAATCACCATTAAAGAACTTACTAATATAACCAAACACTACCTGTTCCCCAGTAACCTGCAGAAATAAAAAAAGAATTAAAATTGTCTATTCAAATTCTCCACCCATGTTTCAATTGGGTTACTTGCCTTTTTATTGAGTTGCAAGTATTCTTTACATGTTCTAGATACAGTCCCTGTTAGTTATATGCAATAAATTGTAAATGACTCCTCATATCCTGTAGGTTGTTTTTTTCTTCTTTGATATGTCTTTTGAAGCACAAAAGTTTTTATGTTTCTTTTGTCACTGGAGTTTTGGTTTCATCTAAGAATTTACAGGATTTAAGTCAAGTGTGGCTCTTGTGAAATCACTTAATTAATGCACATTAACTTTTAAAAGTTAATTTATAGTCTACATAGACTATCTGATCAGGTTCCATATTTCTCTATGAGATAATTATCAGATTACCAAGGATTACATTAAGAAATCCTTAATATTAAGTATGGACAATTGCTAGGATGGGACAGATGCATTTTCCAGCATAACTGTCTTTAAAGCACACTTTACATGTCAATTTTATATTTGCTTATATGTTATTTAGGCAACACTACTCAATATACAATATTAGCAAATTGCTTATTTTGTTTTCCATATGGAACACACAGTAGTTCTTTGAATATATATTTTCCACTCTTTAGAAGAACTTCATCTTCTTCCTATGTTTGTTAAATATTAAAAGGAAATAAAAAATACTTGCACGTTAAATTCCGTTTTAAAGGTATTTGTACCTGAATTTCCTTTTCCTGGAACATAGCCATGACCATCTTATTATCAAATGATCTTTATCTTCATCTCCAATGATATTATTACTGAGCTTTGCCTGAAAACACTACCCAATTGTGCTGCAATAAACAAAGTGACCAGAGCTGAAATGAAAAGCTAAAAACAAAAGATAGTAAGAATAAGAAATGTAGATAATACAGAAAACATGCAGGTAAAGACCACGGCTTTGGGGACTTTAAAAGGAAAGAAAAGCAAAGCTGAGAGATAATGGAGAAACAGTCCTCAGATTTAGGGAGATCTTGGAAGCAGTAACAGCATCAGAGAAAGAAGAAGGTGCTGATGAGAGAGGGCTCAACCCAGACAGAAGAGAGCAAGCCACATGGGGGGAAAAGATGGGGGGAGGAGAATCAGACTGGTGTCATTTTCTGGTCATTACTGGGAAAAAATGTTTCACAGAAAAACATACATCTACACTCACTGCATTTTTTTCAGCATCATGGTGCAATTCTCTCTTGCTTAAAGACTGAAAATATATGCAACACACCTAAGAATGCATCCCGTGAGAAGATGCAATTTATGATCTGGGGAAGAAACAAAAATCAGCTGGAAAAAAATCTTTGTGCTTTGTGAGAGGGTTTGAAGAATACAGCGAAAGGAGGATTGTGTTTCTATTCAAAATTGGGTCTGTTTACTCAATTGCATGTCAGCCATATGACTACAGCAATTACCTCATTCTCTGAACCTTAGTTTCCTCAGCCATAAAATCATGAAGAATTAATTTTTAATTTTTGTATAAGGTGTAAGGAAGGGATCCAGTTTCAGCTTTCTACATATGGCTAGCCAGTTTTCCCAGCACCATTTATTAAATAGGGAATCCTTTCCCCAGTGCTTGTTTTGTCAGGTTTGTCAAAGATCAGATGTAGATATGCAGCATTATTTCTGAGGGCTCTGTTCTGTTCCATTGGTCTATATCTCTGTTTTGGTCCCAGTACCATGCTGTTTTGGTTACTGTAGCCTTGTAGTATGGTTTGAAGTCAGGTAACGTGATGCCTCCAGCTTTGTTCTTTTGGCTTAGGATTAACTTGGCAATGCGGGCTCTTTTTTGGTTCCACATGAACTTTAAAGTAGTTGTTTCCAATTCTGTGAAGAAAGTCATTGGTAGCTTGATGGGGATGGCATTGAATCTATAAATTACCTTGGGCAGTATGGCCATTTTCACGATATTGATTCTTCCTATCCATGAGCATGGAATGTTCTTCCATTTGTTTGTGTCCTCTTTAATTTCGTTGAGCAGTGGTTTGTAGTTCTCCTTGAAGGGGTCCTTCGCATCCCTTTTAAGTTGTATTCCTAGGTATTTTATTCTCTTTGAAGCAATTGTGAACGGGAGTTCATGCATGATTTGGCTCTCTGTTTGTCTATTATTGGCCATCAGATAAATGCAAATCAAAACCACAATGACATACCATTTCACACCAGTTAGAATGGTGATCATTAAAAAGTCAGGAAACAACAGGTGCTGGAGAGGATGTGGAGAAATAGGAACACTTTTACACTGTTGGTGGGACTGTAAACTAGTTCAACCATTGTGGAAGGCAGTGTGGCGATTCCTCAGGGATCTAGAACTAGAAACACCATTTGACCCAGCCATCCCATTACTGGGTATATACCCAAAGGACTATAAATCATGCTGCTATAAAGACACATGCACACGTATGTTTATTGCGGCACTATTCACAACAGCAAAGACTTGGAACCAACCCAAATGTCCATCATTGATACACTGGATTAAGAAAATGTGGTACATATACACCATGGAATACTATGCAGCCATAAAAAAGGATGAGTTAATGTCCTTTGTAGGGACATGGATGAAACTGGAAACCATCATTCTCAGTAAACTATCGCAAGGACAAAAAACCAAACACCACATGTTCTCACTCAGAGGTTGGAATTGAACAATGAGAACACTTCGACATGGGAAGGGGAACATCACACACCGGAGCCTGTTGTGGGGTGGGGTGAGTGGGGATAGCATAGCATTAGGAAATATATACCTAATGTAAATGACGAGTTGATGGGTGCAGCACACCAACATGGCACACGTATGCCTATGTAACAAACCTGCACGTTGTGCACACGTACCCTAGGACTGAAATAAAAATAAACATGAAGAAAATACCTTTCTCACAAGACTCGTTAGAGACTGAACTAGATGATAATGCCACAATCACCAGCAGTGTGGGTGATAGTTTATTAAACATCTGTTTACTGTGAATCACCAACCCAGTGTCCAAGAACCTCAATCCTCCATCCTCAAATGCACCAGATACCGTTTGCATAAAAACCTTAAAGGTTTCTAGGATTATAGTTAGAATTCTTATTCAAATTATACCTACAATTACTCTAAGATAGCAACGCTAAAAATAGGACAACATATTGAGAGTTGAAAGAAAGGTTCCTTGGGTACATAAAGTGTACCTTACCAGAAAGATAATTTAGACACCAGGCTGTGTCAATACTTGATATTGACTATAAGTATTCATTAGCACTATTTGCTTATATGAATATGCATTTGTAGAGTGACTGTCTACACAAACTAGAATAATTGAGAAATCCTAACGAAACATTAAATAGCTCTCTGTATACCCAGAATACATTTAAAGGTGCTATTCTATGCTCTAATTAAATATTTTATATTTTTATATTAATGTGTGATATTTACCCTTGTAATAGGGTATAATTTCTATTCTGAATTGAAGAGCCAGAATTCATGATCATTGATGAAAAATGTGTTTATTATACCGAACTTTTCAACTATTTTTCACATGGTGCTTTTTCCACCAGGGTCTTCTGCACACTTTTGTTCATGAATTGTCTAATTTAAATGGCTATTTAGAAAAGCAAAGGTTGCGAAAACAAGTAAAGAATTAGTCTCCTCAATCTAAGACACCTCCTAAGACAAAATGGCTAAATGTAACATGGTCTGCTGGATTAGGTACTGAAGCTCAAAAAGGTACACTGTAGAAATGTTGGTGAAACCCAGATAAAACCTATAGAGTTAGTCATGAGTATTTTAGTATATGCTAATTTCTTCTCTCTCCCTCTCTCTTTCACGAGTACGGTGTCTAGGTCTCAGCTAATGCAGTCTCTGCCTCCTGGGCTCAAGTGATACTCTGACCTCAGCCTACTGAGTAGCTGGGACTACAGGCACATGCCACCAAGCTTTGTCTAATTCTAATGTCATAGTATGCATAAAATCAGTATGATTACATAAGATGTTCACACTAAGAGAAGCTGGGCGGGGGTTATTTTCTTAAATTAACATATTTACATAATAAGATAACTGAGTGTTAAATATAGTGTTGCACAATACTTAGGATACAGAGTCACTTAATATAATTTCACTGTTTTCAGGGAAAAAAGGCTTTTCAGCTACATTAGAGTATGGCCATTTTTTTTCCACATTAGTTGCTAGCATTGATTTCTCAGGCATTCTTTACTCTTGATGAAACTCAGTATCTTAGGCATTCTCATACATATAATTTAAGAAACGTTCACTCATGATTTGGCTCTCTGTTATTCGTGTATAGGAATGCTTGTGATTTTTGCACATTGATTTTGTATCCTCAGACTTTGCTCCAATTCACAATTGCTACAAAAGAGAAGAAAATATCTAGGAATACAACTTCCAAGGGATGTGAAACTACAAATCACTGCTCAAGGAAATGAGAGGACACAAACAAACGGAAAACATTCCATGATCATGGATAGGAAGAATCAATATGGTAAAAATGGCCATACTGCCCAAAGTAATTTATAGATTCAAGTCTATCCCCATCAAGCTACCATTGACTTTCTTCACGGAATTGGAAAAAACTACTTTAAATTTCACATGGAACGAAAAAGCCCGCATAGCCAAGATAATCTTAAGCAAAAATAACAAAGCTGCAGGCATCACGCTACCTGATTTCAAACTATACTACAAGCCTACAGTAACCAAAACAGCATGGTACTGGTACCAAAAGAGATATATATACCAAAGGAACAGAACAGAGGTCTCAGAAGTAACACCACACATCTGCAACCATTTGACCTTTGACAAACCTGACAAAAACAAGTGATGAGGAAAGGAGTTCCTATTTAATAAATGGTGTTGGGAAAAGTGGCCAGCCATATGCAGAAAGCTGAAATTAGATCCCTTTCTTATACCTTATATAAAAATTAACTCAAGATGGATTAAAGACTTAAATGTAAGACTTAAAACCATAAAAACCCTAGAGGAAAACCTAAGCAATACCATTCAGGACCTAAGCATGGGCAAAGACTTCATGACTAAAACACCAAAAGCAATGGCAACAGAAGCTAAAATTGACAACTGGGATATAATTAAACTAAAGAGCTTCTGCACAGCAAAAGAAACTATCATCAGAGTAAACAGGCATCCTAAACAATGGGAGAAAACTTTTACAATCTATCCATCTGACAAAGGGCTAATATCCAGAATCTACAAAGAACGTAAGCAAATTTACAAGAAAAAAACAACCCCATCAGAAAGTGGGTGAAGGATATGTACAGACACTTCTCAAAAGAAGACATATATGCAGCCAACCAACTTATGAAAAAAAGCTCATAATCACTGGTCATTAGAGACATACAAATTAAAACCACATTGAGAAACCTTCTCACGCCAGTTAAAATGTCGATCATTAAAATGTCAGGAAACAGCACGTGCTGGAGAGGATGTGGAGAAATAGGACACTTTTTCACTGTTGGTGGGGGTATAAATTAATTCACCCATTGTGGAAGACAGTGTGGTGATTCCTCAAGGATCTAGAACTGGAAATACCATTTGCCCCAGCAATCCCATTACTGGATATATACCCAAAGGATTGTAAATCATTCTACTATCAAGACACATGCACACGTATGTTTACTGGAGTACTGTTCACAATAGCAAAGACTTGGAACCAACCCAAATGTCCATCAATGATAGACTGAGGAAAATGTGGCACATATACACCATGGAATACTATGCAGCCATAAAAAGGATGAGTTCATGTCCTTTGCAGGACATGGATGAAGCTGGAAACCATCATTCCCAGCAAACTAACACAAGAACAGAGTACCAAACACTGCATGTTCTCACTCATAAGTGGGAGTTGAACAATGAGAACACATGGACACAGTGGGCGCATCACACACTGTGGGCTGTTGAGGGGTGGGGGTCTGGGGGAGGGATAGCATTAGGAGAAATACCTAATGTAGATGACAGGTTGATGGGTGCAGCAAACCACCATGGCACATGTATACCTATGTAACAAACCTGCACGTTTTGCACACGTACCCCAGAATTTAAAGCGTAATTTAAAAAAATGTTCTCACAGACATTAGGCATTTTATTTTTATTTAAACTATCATTCAAAATATTAAGTATTAAATGTAATTATTTTATGAATTGATATTTAATTCACCAGATCAGTGTCTTTTTTTTTTTTTTTTTTTTTTTTTTTTGAGACGAGGCACAGTCTCGCTCTGTTGTCCAGGCTGGAGTGCAGTGGCGCAATCTAGGCTCACTGCAAGCTCCACCTCCTGGGTTTACACCATTCTCCTGCCTCAGTCTCCCGAGTAGCTGGGACTACAGGCGCCCGCCACCATGCCGGGTATTTTTAGTAGAGACAGGGTTTCACTGTGTTAGCCAGCAAGGTCTCCATCCCCTGACCTCATGATCCACCACAGCCGGCCTTCACTTTTCTTACATTGCCAGAAAGCAAATGAATTCATTAATGATTAATAAAATATTAACATAAACCTAACTTTTTATGAACCTTCAACTTATTTTTCTAACATATTCGGGAAAATATGTTTTGGTGAAAATAACAGAAACAAACAAACAATAAACCCTCCTGCCAATGAAATCCAAAATGAAACAAAACAAAAACCCTACTGTATTTTTTACAACAAGTCATAGCAATACCATCATTTCGATGTGTCTACCATTACCTCAGGTAATGACTAACATATTTGCTGTCTCTATTAATGGGCATTTTGAAGATATTTCATATATATGAGCCATATAATATGTGGTCTTTTATGCCTGGCTTCTTTCACATATGATAATTTTTGTTCTTCCTCCGTGTTGTTACATATTGCAGTACTTTGGTATTCCACTGTATGAATGCACCATATTCTGTTTCTCTATTTTTCACTTGATGGACATTTGAGTTTTCATTGTTTTGGCTACTATAAATAGTGTTGGTATGAATCTTTGTGTACAAGGGTTTGTATGGATATAATAGACTTTTTCTTGAATACCACCTAGTGACTAATTTTTCTTAATTAATTTGTAAAGACCCTAAAATAGATTACATGCTTTTTATAGTTCTTTAACATTTTTCAACTCTTAGCTTCCATTCCCTAATAAAAAATGTGCCCATCAACTTCAAAACATTTGGCATTGCAAATCAAGATACAATTGTTCTTAAGAATTCAACTCACATATCAATTTTTTTAAATCTTATGTCTCCCAGTTGATTTCTAATGAGAAGAAATTTTATCACTTAAAAAAAATACTTCTGAAAAACATTTTCAGAAAGATCACAGTAAGTCATTTCATGTTTAAAGTTTTTAGAAAGTATAATTATCTGAATGTAGTTACAAATAGAGGTGTTTTTTTTTTTGTCCAAGGAAAATTGCCACTTTCTATTTGTGAACTACGACAAATTTGCATTCTTTTAGAATAAATAGAGATAGGATGTGTATTTGTCTACTGAGTTGAGGGTTGCAAGTTGAAAATTTAATAAAATTATTTCTCTACTTTGCTTACAGGGTAAATATTTTCATGCATATTACCTATATTTGCAAAGAAGTGGCACTTTGTAAAACCTTAGTCATATGTTCTTTTTGCTTTAAAAGTCATGTCTGCCAGGCATTGATGATAGTAGTGCTAATAATTTATGTAAAAAAAAAAACATCTTGATGTGTAAAAACTATAAGAAGAATCCTTTCCTGGTAAGTATTTAGCAAAGAACATTGATTTTTCTCATTATCTATTGCCTTATCTTTCCATTTGTCTATTTATGTGCCATTATGAAAAATAATCATATCTTAATTCTTCACATATTCAGGAAGGTATAATTATCAGGAAGAAGTTGACACCCAATGGTCCTGCTCTGTAAAGTTTTTATGCTGTTTGCAGACTTCCTGTTCTTCAACCTTTTTTCACAAAAAGCAGAAAGGGGACTTATTTTTAGTAAATAATAATTTACTAAATTTTTTTACTAAATGTTTTGATAATGTCCAAGTCAGCCTGGGCTTCTATTACACCTCTCACCGTTTTGGAAGCTGGAGGTCCAAGGTCCAGTTGGTGGCAGATTTGGTGTCTGGTGAGGGCCCATGTTCATAGATGCCCATCCTCTCCCTGCATCATCACAGGGAAGGGTCAAGGGATCTTTTGGGGCTCTCTTTTGTAAGAACATTTCACTATTAGAGCCCTACTACTATGATCTAATTACCTCCCAAAGGACCCACCTTCTAATACGATCACATTGGGCGTAAGGTTTCAACATATAAAAGGGGAGAGAGAGAAACATTTAGTCTACAGCTACATATACATTTTTTTAAATCTCAGTTAAGAACATTTAAATTAAGAGCTCAAGAACATACATACGTAAGAAGGGAAAAAAAGTATTTGAGTACATTTCTGCCTAACTCCACAGGCCATGGTTAGGTAGTGGTTTGTAGTGAATATTTAATATTTTGGCATTTTTAAGTTAAAATTATTTTTTATATCAAGAAAAAAAATGAAATTTCATATAATTCAGAAAAAAATAACTTTAGAGTAGATTTAAGCTAATTACTTATATTATCTGGTATTGAAGTCAGATGAGTTCACAACAATCATTAGCCTAGACAACAAAAAATATTGTTATTTTTTAACATCTAATTTTATTAAATATCTACTTTGTGTTAGGTTCTGGTAAATATAATAGAAATGAATTTCTACTGTTTATGTGTTTTAAAGAAAATAAATACATTTTCTTCTCATGTATGGGCTGCTTTTGATTCAAGTAAGAGGAAAATCAGTGAGGATTTCTTAAAAGCCATAGATATTTTAAAGTTATATATTTTTCTTTCCACAACTTGTATCTCTCTCTTTAATGGGAGAGAAATTACAGTGTGTTTTAGTGGTTTAAGGCATATCTCAAAAGCTAGACACACCTGGGAAAAAAAAATTTTGCCAACCATTATTATTGGTGACCTCTGGCAAGCTGCTTAATAAAATCCTCAATTTCTCTCTCTATAAAAATGGAGAGGCCGGGCGCGGTGGCTCACGCCTGTAGTCCCAGCACTTTGGGAGGCCGAGGCGGGTGGATCATGAGGTCAGGAGATCGAGACCATCCTGGCTAACACGGTGAAACCCCGTCTCTACTAAAAATACAAAAAATTAGCCGGGCGCAGTGGCGGGCGCCTGTAGTCCCAGCTACTGGGGAGGCTGAGGCAGGAGAATGGCGTGAACCCGGGAAGCGGAGCTTGCAGTGAGCCGAGATTGCGCCACTGCAGTCCGCAGTCCGGCCTGGGCGACAGAGCGAGACTCCGTCTCAAAAAAAAAAAAAAAAAAAAAAAAAAAAAAAAAAATGGAGATAATAATCCTTATCTGATGGAGTTTTAATTATCATGGAATGATTTCAAATCTCTGTGTGTTTACTGTACTTAGCAGACTACTTATTTCTGTTTTCATGTCTCCTCTAGCTGTGACTTTTTTTTTCACCATGGAAGCAAAAATGCTCATTCTGCTTTTGGTTTTGTTTTGTTTTACTTTACTTTTTTTTTTTTTTTTTTTATAAACAACAGCATTTTTCTAGGCACATTTTCCTTAATTTTCAAATAAATGACAACCAGTCATTAAAATAACTTCAATCTTCTTATTAAACTGAAAAACAGATTTAATCTTGTTATAGAATACTTTCAAATATAACTCATCATCATCTTCATCACCATCCTCATCCTTTTAATGTATAATGAGTTACTATTGAGTAGCAGTCTCACAACATCACTCATTTGATCTGTCAAAAATGCTGGAGTTAAGCAAGGCATCTATTACTGTTCTTATTTCACAGATAAATTCATGCAGAGAGCACTTGAAGTCACTTATAAGTGTAGATGATGGAAAGTTAGTATGCTCACATTTTTATACTTCAAGTTTAGTACTTGGTTTCAATCAAAAACAACCTTTAGAAACAAGAAATAGTAACAGTGTACAGATTTACAAAGGAAATGTGAACAGAAAATATCAAATAATCGTTTTCAAACACTGGATATTACGCCGTAACGAACAGTGATTACCAAGCCAAGAAAACTAAGATGAGCCCTGTGATTTTCTCAATTTACTTATTTGAGTTTCCAGACTGCAATTCAGGTAGGGGAAACTAAAGCTGAGTCTGGCAGAGTTTCTGAGTTGAGGAGATGTTGCTGAGTTTCAAGGGAGACCAAGTTGAATAGAATTTGCAGGATGAATTTCTGAGAGGAGAGGCACAGGGAAATAACTCCAGATCTCGTGGGAAGGTCCACCCTGAGTAGGCAGCAGAGTAGTGATCAGTGCATGAACTTTAGGAAACCACACCAACCAGGGGAAGGCACTACCCAAAAACGTTAAAAGTAACATTGCCAAAAAGAATACTCACTACTGTTAGATGTTCACATTTCCCTACTTGTTCTAAAGTGATCTAAAGAATAAACAGTCAAAACCCAACCACCAAATTAAAAAAAAAATCTTAAAATAGCTAAAACGCCTGTAGAAAATAAAGACAAATTTGAAGGACAAAAATTACCTAATATAAATGATTATTATAAACTAAAGTAATAAAAAGTGTGATATGAGCATAAATAGAGACAAACTGATGAATAGGGAGTAGAGAAAAATATACCTGAGTTTTGACAAAGGTAAAAACCAAATTAGAAAGGATAGTGTTTTCAATAAAGGATGCAGCAGTAATTGGCTACCTGTATGCAAAATAGTAAATTTTGATGAGAATGTCACACCACAAAAATAATTAAGAATTGACCATAAGCCTTAATGTCAAACCTTAAAATATGCAACTTTTAGAATAACATATAGAGAAAATCTTTGTGAACTTACGTTAGGCAAATATTTGATATATTATACCCCAAATAATTTATTTTCAGTTGGCCTTCATGAAAATTAAATTGTTTAATAATCATAAGACATTGTTATAAATGTTAAATCTCAAAGCAGAGATTGGAAAAATATTTTCAAATTACATGTCTGATAAAATTTTTATCTAGAGTATATGAAGAACTCTCAAAGCACAATAAGGAAACACCCAATTTTATAAAAGGCCAAAAATATGAACACATCTGTCATCAATGAACACATATGGATGACAAAAACATGTTGATACTTTTCAGGTTTAGGAACACATGAAAATGGAGAGATGGGTTGCTTTGCATTGGAGAGTATAAATGAAAAGAGCCCTGAGCGTTTTCCTTAAGATCATGAACAAGATAAGGATGCCCACTCTCACCACTTGTGCTCAACACAATACCAGAAGTCCTAGCTACAGAAATCAGGAAAGAAAAAGGAAAAGATATCTACATAGGAAGGGAAGATGTGAAATTATGTTTACGGATTATATGACTTCATATATAAAATTGCTAAAAACTCCACCAAAAAAGGTTAGAATTAATGAAAACAATCGAGTTTGGCCACAGGTTACGAAATCAACATATAAAATCAATAGTGTTTCTGCACATGATGAACTATCCACAAAAGGAAATTAAGAAAACCATCCCACTTACAAAAGCATCAAAAAGAAAATAGGAATATATCTTACCAAAGATATAAAAGACCTGTATAGTGAACACAATAAAACATTAGTTAAAAAAAATGAAGAAGGCTAAATAAATGGAAAGATATCCTATCTACATGGATTGGAAGAATTAATATTGTTACAATGTCTCTGCTACCCAAATCAATCTACAGATTCAATATAATTTATATGAAAATTACAATGTCCTGTTTCACAGAAATAGAAAAATCCTAAAATTCATCTAGAACCAGAAAAGACCCCAAATCATCAAAGCAACCTTGAGCTAAAATAACAAAGCTGAAGACATCACACTCCCTAATCTCAAAATATTTTCTAAAGCTACTGTAAAGAAAACAGCATGATACTGTCATAAACACATAAAAGAAAATTGGCACAATATAGCACAAAAATAAAATAAATTGAAGAAATTGAATGAATTATAAAAAACTTACCCATAAAGAAATTGTCAATCCCTGGTGGTTCCACTGGTGAATTCTATTACACATTCAAGGAAGAAGTAACTTTTTCATATACACTCTTTCACAAAATGTTCTATTTTGTTGGAATATGCCCCAACTTGTTTTATGCGGCTACCAGTACCCTGATATCAAAAAAAGACAAACACATTAGAAAGATGTGGGAAATAATGTTACATATCAGTGTCCATTGGGTTTATAGAAGTAAAAATCTGTCATAAATATAAGTAAATAGAATACAATTTATAAAGTAGATAATACAAACAATAGGATTTTTTTTCTAGCAATCTGAGCTTGCTTGACAGTAAACCATCAATCAAGCTGACTTCCACATTCAGCCAATATAAAACAACACAGACTCTATTTATCCAGCAGCCATAGTAAACCAGGAAATTCTACAGAATACTGCAGATATTGACAAAAGAAGGGACTCTAATCTTGGAGGGAAGGAAACTAGACAAGGTGAATCACATTTCTACCGATTTACTGTCTGTGAGGCATTTTCCAGATTACAGTGCACACAGAAAAACACACAGTCAAGTAGTTTCCATGAGTTGAGGAGGCTTTTACTGAAGTTTGAGAAGAGGGGAAAGAGCTAGGATTTGCAGAAAAAAAGCACAGAAGAGCAGAGAATTCTCAGAGAAAACTCTGGATATGCACAGATGGTTCTCTTGAGTCTTTGGCTGAGTACTGATGTGCACACAGAAGGAGAAAATATCTTAAATGTGGAAAGAACCATAAAAAAGGATTAGGTTGAACAAGCTCTAGAACTCACATGGGACTCCAACCATAGTGGAGGACTTGGTAACATACTGAGTAGAGTCTTTACAATACATGAGAAGAGTTCCTCAGAGTGATATTTATTGCCTTTCCAGAGACATAAATTCACCCTAGACTGAAGGCTTCTCTGTCCCTACCCCATGAAAGCTTAAAAACAAGTCTTAAAAGGATTCTAAGTAAATTAAATGCATGCCAAAACAAACTCCAACAGTATATTAGTAAAACATAACTATAACAATGTAAACTTCTCCAGACCTAGCAGTCAATCAAAATTTACAAGACATTCAAAGATGCAGAATCATATAACTCATACAAAGTAGTGATGTCAGTCTATACAGAGAGACCCATAAATGGCAGGGATGATAGAGCAGCAGTGGACAAAAACAAGCAATTAGAAATAGGCTCCATGTGTTCAAGAAGCTTGAGAAAAATATGAATATAATGAAGAAGCAAATAAAAAAACTAAAAGAACTGAATAGAACTTTTCGATAAGAAAAAATACAGTAGCAGAAGTGAAAAAACATACTGAGTGGCATGGACAGCAGATCAGATCCTCCAGAAGAAATAACCAGTAAACTAGAAGACATAGCAATAGAAACTATGCAAAGTAAAGTTCAGGAAAAAAAGGTAAACACGTCATCAGTCACTTGTGGGTCAATAGCATATAGTCCAATATACATATAATTGAAAGAGAAGACACAAGGAGAATTTTGAAAAATAATACCATTTTTTCCAATTTGACTAAAACTATCAATCCAAAATTCTGGAAGCTCACCAAATCCCAAGCGGAATAAGCGTAAGAAAAAAAAATCCAAGGCAATCATAATTATATTGCAGAAAACCAGTGATAAAGAGAAAAACTCTAAAAGCATTCATCAAGATTGGTGGATGGTGGGTGTATTACATATTAAATAGAAAAAGCAAAATTAAATGTGAGCGATCACTCATCAGAAGCCACAAGCCTTGCAGTCAAGGGTAAAACAGTGTAAAAGAAAAGTAACTGCTAAGTTAGAGTTCTTTGCAAATTATCTTTCAAAATGAAAGCAAAATAGTGTTTTCATACCCCCAAAAAGCCTCAATAATTAATCACCAACATATCTGCACTGACATAGGGGTAAAATAAAGTTCTTCAGACAAGAAGAAAATCATATATACACACAGGCACACTTATATCACAGGGTGTTTAATATATATTTATATCCGTATCCATATATACATATAACATTCTTTTCATTTTCTGTGTCTTTAGAGGATAAATAAGATTTCTAGCTATTACAGCGTGAAGAGATTGGTGAGTATCCTCCAACCATAGACACACACACACACTTTATAGCATTTTCAGAAACACCACATTCCAGGTTCTAGAAATTGATAAAAGGCAAATTGAGAAGTTTTTATTCAGGAGCCAGTAGAGCTTTGGTTAAGAAAAGCAGACGTCTGGGGGCTTCTTGCCTGGGGCTTCTCTCATTTCCCCAAATTTAGTTGAAGAGAATGGTACTTTATCAGGCAGAGCTGATGACAAAGACGAGAGGAAGCAAACTTTACTTGAGGTGGTTAGTGAAGACCCACAGCATCATCAGTAAAATTATCAAATTCTGTGAGTAATGCATGCGGAAAACGTGCAGCTCTGCTAGCCTAATTTCTATTTTAGTTGCAACAGTGAAGGACAGCCAGAAATTTAACAGGAAGAGCTTGGACATCAGAGAGCCATCGAAGCTCTCCACAAACCCCTAGCTGTGTGGGAAACAATTTGCCTATTGCAGGAGAGAACTGAGAATTTCCAGTGGAAAGTAAAAGCTGAGAAAAACTTTGACAACATGTAATGTGCTCCCCCACCCACTTCTCTCTCACACATACATATCCATCTGCAGAGACTGGAAATGTATGGCCTTGTGATGTTCAAGCACAAGCTCTGCCAGAATCATTAGCTCACCACTAAGTTACACTGTCACAGGGTCCAGCCGTAGATAGACTAAAAAATAAAAATAAGAATTCAAAAACAGCATAGACTTCAGCAACTGTAAACAACATGGAAGACAGAGTCTTAAGTCCAAGTATATTAAACAAAAATGTAAAGAGAAAAATTCTGAAGTCAGAGCTGCTGCAGTATAATAACTAAAATAGCCAGTTCTCAGAGAATTACAAAGTGTGCACAGAAACAGAAAACATAACCAAGAATGCAAAATTAGGAAAAAAAAAAGTCAACAGAAATTAACTCAGAATGGGCCCAGATGTTGGATTGAGCAGATAATGGTTTAAAGCAACTATACAAATATGTTCAAATAATGGATGAGGATGTTTAAATAATTACAAGAAAATGTGCAATAATGATTCAACAAAAAGAGAAAAAAATAAGAACCTATCAAATCTATGGAAATAGTAGCATTGAATACTTTTTAAAAGGTGAGAATTTTACTTGAACTCAATAGATTTGAGATGAGAGAATAAAAGATAAATGAACTTGAAGGCAGATCAGGATAAATCATTCAACTGAAAAATGAAAAAAGAAAATGAATATAGCCTCACAGCTGCATGGTTAAACACAAAGCACATCAAGGAATGTCAAGCATACATGTGATAAAGCCAGGTGGGAAAAGGGGTAGAAAAAATATTTGAAGAAATAATGGCTGAAAACTTCCCAAATTAGATGGTAGACATTAATGTACATGTCTAAAAAACTCAACACACTCCAAGTAGCATCAACAGAGATTCACACACATGAACTTCACAGTCAAACTGCCAAAAGCCAACGACATGATAAAACATTGAAAGCATCAAGATAAAAACTACTTACTGTATAAAAGGGAACAAAAATATGACTAATGGCTGACTTTTCATTAGGAATAGCGTAGGCAGGAATGCTATGGAAAGACATAATCAAAGCACTGAGAGAAAAAAAACTGTGCACCAAAAAGTTCATATACAGCAAGACCATCCTTCAAAGTGAAAGTGAAACCTGCTTGCTGGCCAAGATGAAGTAATAACAGAATGGATTTACAATCTACTCTAAATAATTAATTTCAAACGGATCTAATGTATGAAGTAATATTTTCAAGACCCTGGGCATCAGGGAACAGAGGACAAGGATTCTGCAGAGATTGCAAATGATGCACATATGCCCTATGATTGCCCCAGCTTAATGCCTGGAGTTAGATTCCAGGCTGCGGCACAGAGGAGGGACCCCCAGGCAGAACCTGGTGGTCTCTGTGGGAGTTCAGAGAGGGTAAGGAATCTGGAGTGTTGAGGGGAGACCACCAGAGAGGAGCAAGCCACGGGGAGAGATACCCAGAGATCTGAAGAGAGTCTTGAGGCTTAAGATGAGTTCTTATTAGCCCAGGCATCTAAACAAACTATAGGAAGCCAAGAAAATAATCTCCCAAAAGGATCAAAGGAAACACTCCCCTTAGCTCATGTAGAGTCAGGAATAATTCCTGCTTCCACAGTCACAGCCGAAAACATCATAATTCACAGCACATCAGGAACAGTAATCAGAACGGTTTTGCCTTAGTAATCAGGCAAAATTAGGCATAAAGCAAATGCTGCTCTGCTGATTCCCAGCAAAGCTTAAAGCGACACCCAAAAGTATAAAAAGCTTTCCAAGTAATTTAACTGTATCCCAAGAATAAAGCTAAGAGCATTTATAGGAATACTTAAACATCCAGCACCTCAAAAGGTAAAATGCACAACTGGCTTACAAGTTAAAAACTACTAGGCACACATAGAAGCCAAAAAACATAACCAATAATGAAAAGTCAATAAATTAAAATCAGCTGAGACATGACACATTAATAAATTTTTATAACCGTATTCCATGTGTTCAAGAAGCTAGAGGGATGGCCGAACAGGATAAATAGAGATGAGAGATAGTAAACAATCAATCAATCAAACTTCTAGAGATGAAAACAGTAACACTGAGTAGAAAAACACAGGGAATGGAATTACAGCTTAGATTGCAGAATGAAAGATTAAGGAACTTGTAAACATTGTAATAAAAGCTGTTTAGTGAAACAGAAAAGAGACTAAAGAATAAAAGTGTTTGTGAGAAATGAGATAAAGAGCTTAATATATGTTTAATTGCTGTTTCTGAAGGAAAATAGAAGGGATGGCAGAAATCATATCTGAAGAATTATTAGCTAAAAATTTTTCAAATTAGATGAAAACTAGAAACTTTCAGATCCAAGAAGGCCAAGGAACTCCAAGCACAAAAAATATGAATAAAATCCAATTAAAATCAAATTGCTTTAAAACAGTGATGAAAAGAATCTCTTAAAATCCACCAAGGAAATAAGGCATAGGAGAAAAAACAAAGATGACTTCATATTTCTCCTTAGAAACCATGTAAACAACAAAGCAATATGTTTAATGTGTTGGAAGTAAAAAAAAATTCATAGAATTATATATTCAGAATAAAAATTTATATGAGTGTAATAAAAAGTATAAAGTAAAAATTAATAATCTATAAAATTAGAAGGTGAAATAAAAGCTGGTTCTTTAGTAGAAGCAGTAAAATCAGTAAACCTCCACATAAAACTTATCAAAAAAGAGAAAACAAGAAATTTTAATTTTAGGAAAGCGAACATTACTATATATTTTGTAGATAAAGAACAGTAATAAAATATTACAAGAAAGTATGACAATAAAATTGAAACATAGATGGAATGCACTAAATTCTTGAAAGACACAAACTTTCAAAACTCACATGACAAGAAAAATATATAAATTGTTCTATCTCTAATAAAGTGAATTGTTAAAAACCTGTTCAGAAAGAAGACTCCATGTCTGTAAATTTCACCCAGCATTCAAAAAAGAAATGTTAATTCTAACAAAAAAAGATTACCAGAGCTAATAAATAAATGGGTTCCTCAAAGTTGCAGGATAAAAGATCAGCATATAAAATTTAGTTTTATGTGCTAACAATAAGGAATTAGAAATTAAAATGTAAAAATCAATACAATTTACAATAACATCAAATATTAAATGTTGAGGATAAATCTGACGAAAGATTTATTTGCTAAAGTCTATAAGACACTGCTGACAGAAATTAAAGAATATCTAATAAAATGGAGATACACATCATATTCATGGCTCAAAAACCTCAATGTTGCTAGGATGTTGTCTTAGTCAGTTCTGGTTACCATAATAAAATACCACAGACCTGGTGTCTTAAACAGAAGAGATTTATTACCTCACAGCTTTGGAGGCTTGAAGTCTGACATCAGGGTGCCAGCACTGGTTCCTGGTGAAGGCTTTTTTCCCTGCCTTACAGACACAGCCTCCTTCACGCTGGGTCTCCACCTGTAAAGAGAGAAACCATAAGCTATTTGGGATCTTTTGTCCTAAGAAAACTAATCCCATCGTGTGGGCCTCACCCTCATGACCTTCTCCGTACCTAATTAACTCCCAAAAGCCCTATCTCCAAATATCATCACACTGCGAATTAGGGCTTCAACAAGTAAATTTTGGAGGAACACTGAATATGTCTATTCAGTCCATAATCGACATGAATTTTTATCAGATATGGAAGTTCAACACAATTGAAATCAAAATCTCAATGGGTTTTGTGTAAAAATTGACTATTGTATAATGAAATTCACAGTGAAATGCAAAGAATGTAGAAGAGCCAATAAATTATTTAGAAGAAGTAGGACAAAGTTGGAAAATGTACATTTCTGACTTCAAGTATTATAAAGCTACAGTAATAAGACTGGACAGTATTCAATTGGTCAATTGAATAGACCAATGAAACAGAACAGAGGGTTCAAATTAGACTGACATATACTCAGCTGCTTTTCAACAAAAGTGCAAAGGCAATAGTCCTTTCAACAAATGATCCTGGAATTATTGAGTATTCATATGCCAAAAAAAGAGCTTAGATCTGTATAACATGCAAATAAAAAAATTAACTCAGAGACACGGCATAGTGGCTGATGCCTGTAATCTCAGCACTTTGAGAGGCCAAGGCGGGAGGATCACTTGAGGTCAGGAGTTCGAGACCACACTGGCTAAGATGGTGAAACTCCGTCTGTAATAAAAATAAAAATTAGCCAGGCGTGCTGGCAGGCGCCCACCTACTTGGGAGGCTGAGTCGGTAGAATCACTTGAACCCAGGAGGCCGAGGTTGCCATGAGCTGAAATCGCACCACTGTACTCCCGCCTGGGGGACAGTGAGACTGTCTCAAACAAACAAACAAACAAACAAACAAACCAAAAACACCAAAAAAGCCCTCAAAATGAATCATAAACCCAAGTGAAACCTAAAAGGATAACATTCCTTAGAAGAAAGCATGGAAGAACATACTTGTGGGTTAGGGGTAAGAATAAATTTCTTACATGGTATATAGAAAGCATAAATCATAAAATAAAATATGGGCAACTTGAACTTTACCAAATTTTTAAAATTTTTCTCCTTAAATGATTCCATTTTGAATATGAAAAAGCTAGCTACAGAATGGGAAAAAATACTCTTACAACTCAATAAAACATCGCAGACAACACAGTCAAAACGAGGCAATATTTGAACCAGTACGTGAGACGTAAACCATATGAATGGTCAATGAGAATGAGCACATAAACATGCTCTCCATTGTGATTTGTTGGTGTATACAAATCTCAAAATTCAAAAATGAATAGTTTTTTGTTACCTCAAGGAAGTTGATTTGGAGAGAAATTACGTATCAAAACGTGGCCTAGATTTTTACAGAACAAATTGAAGATGTCTATCCACAGAGAGAAATAATCTACAGAAACAAAGACTACAGATTCATAGCCCCTAGCACCCCTACAGAGGTGCATTATAATTAAAAGATATGTAATATAATGTTTATATGTATTAAAAAAAACTTTAAAAGTAAATTAAGTATTATGATAACCAAAATAGTAAAGATCTTAGAAAACACAAGTATAAATACAGGTAAAATCACAATGGAGAGGTGGAACAGTAGACAAGGTGACAGTAGAATTAGAAGCTAAATCAGAAGCAACACAGAATGCAGCCCACAGAGAAAATGAGATATTAAGAATTTAGATGAGAAGTAAAGAGAATGAAAGGGCATGGGAAAGAGGGCAAACTAAGCTGGATGGATTATGAAAGTGCCAATGGCATGGGAAGAAGCAAAATTCAAAGAAATAATGAACCGAGAAGACAAAAGGAAATACAAAGGAAAATACGATCTCAAATTGTGCTAAGTTACAGAACACCAGACACAAAGTGAAAACATTAAAAGGATTACCTACAAAGGAAGAGCAAAATTACCTACCAGGGAAGGACAATTACCTACAAGGGAAAGGAACCAAACGGTAGGCTTTTCAAGACGAACGCTACAAACCAGAAAAAAGTAAAATGATACAGTGAAAGTGTGGAAAGAATTTACTAAGAAGAATCCTAATAATCTTCACATAGCAGATAAGGGCATCTTCAGGCCAAAAGAAAATTGAGAAAACTTCACTAAAGGAAATTCTAAAGAATGTACATGAGAAAGAAGCAAAGTGCTCCCAAAGGAAGATCTAGACTACAAAAAGAAAAGTCAAGGAAAGAAAATGTGAGGCTGCTGGGATGTTAGGACTTTCTTTATCTTAATATTTCCCAATTGCTCCCTGTATCGTCTTTATGTTAGTAATTTTTTAAGAGCAGAGTTATCCAGAGCCATTTATTATAGGAGCAAATACGACTGAGCCCACAGTAAGCCCAGGGAGCATGGCTGTATCACAGCCCTGCTGCAGGATGGATGGTATAATCATCATCTAATTGTAAAACGATGAAAGCACAGGGGCCTTAGAGAACACCCTGCACGGCCTTCTCACTTTTTAATGAGGAAAGGAAAGGTCTTATTATAATGTGTTTTTTTTTAAAAAGGTAGAAACATTTGTAATATATTTTAGGAAAATTTCCATCCAAAAAGGTTGAGCACCTTTAAAAGGTTTAATACTTTAAGGGTAAACTGTAACAATATGAAAAGTTAACTTGAGTGAAACAGTCCACTGTCTGCTATTTCCATATATGTACAGAAATTAATTGCTTCTAATTGTTTAATAGAAAAGTTTGAATGATTGAAAAAACATTACTTCAAATACATAACATGGGGATAGAAAGTCTTCCATTCTGAAGATGAGCTTACAAAAAGCAAGAAATGGCTTCTTACTAAGTTTTGTCTTTTCACCCTGTCTGTACTGGGTCCCCTACCCAATACATTGTATATAGTAAAAGTTTAATAAACGAACTGAAAGATAATTCACTGAAACTATTGAAGTTTGCAGACAGGCGCAATAGAATGCAGACAAATTCAATTCTTGATGATTAAATTTTCTTATTGCTGATGAGTTTAGAAAGAGGAAGGGACTAATAATGAAGATCCAACAGGTATCCAGGGGAATAAGAATCCTCTAATTGCCATCAGCCTCAGTAGAGGTTGGAGCTATAAGGATCAGTGCAATAAAAGAGGAAAAGAGGAGAGAGAGAGAGACAAGGAACAGGGGAAAGAGAGAGAGAGTGAAGACTCCATGTTCAAAAAGAATAAAGACAATGAGTTTTATGTCATATGCTCTCTAAATAGAAATATTTAGAGTATTTTAGGCTGTGATCTATTGTGTCACTGGAGTTTGCCAAACAAGATGAAAAAAGAGAAAAGAAATAGGATGGAGAGAGAAGAGGAAAAAAGTCTTATAAAGTATTTCTTGTTCAAAGTTCCCAATTAGAAAACAGTCACACTCATACACTGAATATGTTTGTTATGCACGACAGTGCTGTACATAATAACAAAAGATTGGTTGCAACCCCTCAATAGAGGGCTAGCTACATAAACTATACAGATACTGTACAGTTAAAAAGACAATCAGGAAAGCCTTTGTGTCCCAATAAGGAAACTGAACAAAGCAAGGGGTGGAAGAATACAGATATCATCCTGTCATGCATGTACGAAATGAAGAAAAGAGACCATGCCTTGTTTTATCGTTTTGATGTTTAAACATCTGAGTGCACCACCTATTTAAAACAACAGGTCTCTCTCTGTCACACACAAACGTTCCTAATTTAAAAGTATACTTCCCTGATTATTGCATTTCCTTTGTGTATGTTCCATTCTTCACATTTCGATATGAATTAACCCACATATACAAGAAAACATTATAGTTTTAAGGCCATAGATCTAGCAAATATCAAACAGAGAACAGTAGGAAAGAAGTAATAACACGGTGAACATTTCCTGCTTGCATTTGGGTGGTGCAGTGGTGTATATGAGTCTGTACATACATAAAACAGAATTAACATTGTCTCCAGCTCTCCTCCTCTCTGGCCCACCACAGAGAGACTGTCTTTGCTGCCTGGTGTGAAAAATACATAGAGGAAATACCAAAGACAGTGACAGACCAGGTTGATTTACTTTGCAAAGAGCACAGACTTGTTGGGGGAAGGTGTATAATTCATGCCGAAGTTGAAGAGACCAATGAGAAAGAAAGGAAGAAAGACAGGTTGTTGATTGCATGCAGAGAAATATTTGAAGGATTGCTGCCATGAATGCTGTTTTTCTTTTCTTTCTTTTTTGGTTGACAAATCGGTGGTTGAGTATTTTACTATTTTTTTCTTCTTTTTTAACTGTTTATTGCATAGAAACAAACTCTAAGGAGTAGATGTATAGACACATATACATACACATTCACAAAGCACTTTCACATAATATTTTCTAATTTTATCATTGTAACAAACTTTTAAAAAGCACCCATTTTTAAGATAAGAAAACAGGATCAAAGTAGTTAAGTGACTTTCTCACTGTGCCGCAGATAATATTGGGAAAAGACAATTTACTCATTTAATAAATATATATATTGTAATATACTTATTACTTATATATTTACTAATATATAAACAAATACACATTACTAACATACTTATTCTATTTATTGTATTAATGTATTAGTAATATATGTATTTATTACTAATAAATATGGTAACCATATTTATTAAATATTAAACATATTTGGTATATTAGTAAAATGGTATACCAAATTGGCCATGGTAGGCGACTTCTCTCTCTCTCTCCTCATGGGGGAGAGAGCTCACTCTGGGCCACGTTCTTTCGTTTGCTCTGAGAGACAAAGATAAACAGGAATGCGGCCTGCCTTCGAGGAGCTCACATTCTAGCAGAGAAAGACAAGAGTCCAGCCCACATGTGCTGCGGAAGAAGCATGGGTGGCACAGGAAGGCGCAGGGGCACGCTGCTCGGTGCTGCCTGATGGCTGGGGCATGGCTTTATGGACAAGGTCACCTGGAGCTGGCCTGGAAATCATGCAGGCCCTCCGAGGTACATGAGACAGATGTGAAGAGTATCTCTGCCAGAGGAGCTTTGCAAGTATAAAACACCTGGATGCTTTAAATGGATTGTATGTACCTGGTTCAAAAAGAGAAGCGATAAGAGAGGGTGCTCTTAGGGCCGTGAGGAGGCAGTGCAGAGACTCAAAAACACGTTTCTCTCTCGCCAAATCCCATCTCTGACCGCGATGACAGCATCATTCAAACTTTAGTGTGCCTAATATCACCTGGGGCGCTCTTCTCAGGGACCACACTTAGCACAGTGTCTGGGCTGAGGGTGGATGCTCTGTGACCTATGAGAACAAAAGGGAACAGAGAACAGAGGCAAGTCTGCCGGCCCTGGCTTGGCCACCATCCAGCCCCTTTACATCTGTAGACCTCCATTCCTTTTCAGCATTTCCAACGTGAGGGTGTTGCACCCAGCAAATTGCTTCCAAATCTTGATTTTTCTATTTGTGTTTTTGTTTTTAGTTTTTCCAGGGGAATTGTTAGTGTTGTTCAGAAACTTCATGCAACAGGAATATATGAATAGCTAATGGTTGAATTATTCTGAAGGGAGTAGGAGAGGAAATTCTAGAACTTCTCACAGCCCCCACTCCCTCCTGAGGCATCACCTGAAGCCCTCAGGAAGGTCCCCGAGCTCTTTTGTGTGGATCTAATGCCCACCCACACCTAAAAGAACCAACGCGGCGCCACGGAGGAGACGTGGAGCGCTGCGAATGTCTCGGCAGCGGGGATGAGAATGCGTTTAAGAACAGGGCAACAGTATGTAAGCTCATTGAAATGAGGGTGGTTAGACATTTCTCCATAAACCGTGATGGGACACTATTCAGGCAGAGTGGATGGTGTCTGAAAGTGTAAATGCAAAAATTTTCCCCACAGGACGACACAGCTAGCCCTATAACTGAAATGAAGTAATTCTGCCAGACCAGAGTTCTCCATGAGGTCGGGCACTGTATTTTGCTCAGCACTGCAACCCCGTTACATAGTACAGCGTTCCGCATTTTGTAGTTGCTTAATGACTGTCTTTTGAGTGACAAGATGTGATGAAAAGGAAATCAAAATCAAATATATTCAATTAAAATATACAAAAGAGAAAAAGTAGAAAGTCCAAGTCCTTTATATCACACAACCACCCTTCCCAAGTGGGAAGAAATGAGTCCAGGAAGATAATAAACAGTAAGCAAATAAAGCTAGTATACTTCCTACCCAAGAGTCTGTCAGGCTGTTCAAGAGCCTGGGGTGAAGGTAGATTAGACTGTGCCTCACGCAAGTTATGAGAACATATTCCAGGTAAATGCCAGAAGAAGCGCATAGCATGTCCACATGTCGAATTCACACGCATCTGTAAGTGACAGTGCTGATAAACGATTAAGTCTGTAACCTGTTTCATACTTTCTCATTGAAAATGATGAATTAAGAAATGAAAGCAGCTGAGACATAGTTGGAATTACTTGGTACCTAAGCCGCATAGTTTAGGATTGGTATTTACTTTGACCTACAAGGGAAGCCTTGACTATACATATTCACTAACATATCTCCTTCAGAGGCTCAGATATAGATCCTAATTTTTTGGAGGTAGTAGGTAAAATTTCATTCGGCCGTTCCTAAAAAAATGTAAAGACCCTATACAAAGGAGAACATGACTTACAACACCCACAACAGGGAGACTTGAGATCGTAAAGGGGCTACGAGAATGTATTCATGAGAAATAGTATTGAAATGCAAATCAAGCTCCCCTAGTAGCTAATCTAATTCATCACCTGCCATGGTTATGATTTAGGAAACAGCTACAGGTGGCTAAAGAGCATTGACTTGCACCAACAGATGACAAGGCATTGATGCCTAAAAGTCGGGATAAAGCTCACAAATCAATACGTTGTGATTCCTTCTTAAATGTGTAATTCTCAAAGGAGAAGAGTTTATGTTGATGATAAAATAACTATTAAAACAGTGAATTGTGAGCCATCCACTTCTGACATGCTCATGTTATATTGGCCACGGTTACCATGCAGCTAGCACAGAGTTGGTGCTCAACAGACATGGATGATTAAGTGAATAAAAACGAATGACTTAAACTGAAGAGAAATTGAAGTGCAATAGGAAGAAATAGTGGAATTAATTTTGAGAGAAATACTAAGACAGCTGCCATCTATTAACAATTAATACTTTTGTTAATGTAAATAGCGATCCACTTTTTGTCAACTTCGGAGTTTTAAGGCAATTATAACTTGAACCACTTTCTACCTGTAATCCCATGTCCTTCAAACCAATTTAGTCACTGGTGGTTTTAAGATCTCACCTACCTGGCTATCATTCATTAATTGCTCCATCCATTCACTCATCTGTTCCTCCATCCACGCATGCATTCACTCACAAATACGTGCAACTTTATGCCTCTTTGTCTTTCCCTCCCTCCATCTCTCTATTCCTCCATCTCCTTTCCCTGACTCCCCTGGAAATTCTTGAAAGCTGACTGCTGCTTTCTCTTTACTTTTCATTCAAACCAGAAACTCCTTCACCTCCACAAACAGACACAGCCATTTTCCTCTCAAACCAGGACTTTGCCTGGGAGACCACGTGGCAAGGTTTGCACTGTGGAGAAACTCAGAACTGCCCCTTTGCTCTACATTTTCTTAATCTTCAGAAGAGCCTTTTGGACTCTGCTATGAGGAACCATTTGGAATACATTACTATTGTAACATGTTGTAATTATAATAATGATGACATAAATAAATCCATAGCCATAGAGAAAAAGAGCCCATATCAAATTGGGGAAGACAAGGAGAAGAGGGAGAAGAGGAAGAGGAGGAAGGGATGGAGGGAGGAAAGGACGGAGGGAGGAAGGCAGGGAGAAAGTGAAGGAGGAAGGGAGGCAGTAAGCCTGATTCAAATAAATATGTCAGAATTGTTAGCAAGCAACATGGAAAATGGACTCAGATTTCCTCCTCACACGTTTATATGATACTGAGAGAAAGAAAACAATTGGCCATAGTGCTAATAGGAAATGTCTAACACCCATGGCAATTTCCATCCTACGTTGTAATGATAATATAATTCAGTTGGTCTCTCTCCTAAGAGGACTTTTCTCCCTGTGCTGTTTTTCACTTTAACTATTAAACGAGCGAGCGTTTGATGTTTACCTACTTTTCTGGGTCTTGGTATCTGCACACCCACTGAGCTTGTAAAAAGTCATCATTTCCTGAAGAAAATCACTGCGCTAGTCTCACATGCATTCTTAGAAACAAAATAATGCATGTCTAAAGCAACCATTCCCTGATCTAAGCAAAAATAACAAAAGTCTTCCTCTTCTTGAAAAATTTTAATCCTTACACATTTTATCTTTGTTATTTGTGGGCTGTCAAGAAAATGCCATGTAAGAAAATGCAGATGTGTGTTTTACTTCAAAGCAAATGCCTCCTCCCACTCTCAGAAGCAGGAACATTCCTTCACCACGCCATCCGACTTCCATAGCCAGATGCTTCATTACACAATAAAGTCAGTGGGCTTTCTGTACAGACTGGAGACATAAATTTGTGCTCAGTTGAAAAGCATTGATTGAGCCAGATTTTGTGGACTTTCTTATTCATTCAAATCGATTTATTAAAAGTTTCTTAGACATCTTTCACAAAGAGAGCACTAGGCTGATGAAGAAACAGGGAGGATGAAGATGTGGCTCCTATGGTTTGAGTACCCTATGTTCTTGTGGGACAAGAAGTATAAACCAATAACCTTCCTCCCAGCAAAATATAAGAAATGCTTAAGTATGAAGGGCTCCGTGAGAAGCAGAGGTGAGTCAGAGGTTAACTGTCCAAAATCCAGGAATTCTTCCCATAGAGATATCGGAGGTATACCTCGGATTCAAGGTAAAATCATCACAGGTGTAGATAGTGGAGTGAAGCATCCAGGTGGCGTTTGCTTTAAGACCAGTCAGAATAGAGGCTGGGAGAAGGAGAAGATGACAAGGTCAGAGTATGAGTTAGAGCCAGGAATGGAAGTAATTTAATGCCAGAAAAATCTGTTTAGGCTTTAATGAGTGAGCACTGAAGATTTCTTAGCAAAGAAATAACATCATCTGGGTTGTGTTGTTGGAAGATTTTGGAAGCAGAGGTTTCTGTAGATGTGGGATGAATTTAAATTATGTTTAAACCGCTGATGTGTCTAATTCATAAAGATTTACGGGATAAAATTTCAATACTAGAGGACTATTGTAATTATTAATACCTTAAATTTGTAGAGTGATTCATAGTTAAAAACAAATGTTTATGTGTATTGTCTCATATATTCACAATAACCAGTGAAGCAGGCAGCATTATTTCCATTTGTAAATAAAGGAGAAACTGAGTTTTGGTCATGTAGCAACTTTCATATATGTCATAATTAGAAGAAACAGGACCAGAATCCAGGGATTCTAAAACCAAGATCTCTTGTGAAATCAACAGCTATATAAATTAGGTATCAATAAATGAGGAAGGAAATAAGAGCCTGAAAATAATGGTAACACTATAATTTAAATAACGTAGGTGTCAATTTTAACAAATCAATGCTTTTACTTCTGCTCCGTTTGAACACATACTTTCATTTTCAGAAAAAAAAATAGGAGTTAACTTAGAATATAAGAGAAAGATTAACAGGTGAGACCAACCCCAACACTTTGGCCAAATTCAGTGCCATTCTCTCTGAAATTTAACATGAAATCTAGCACATATAGGTTTTCTAGTTTTATATTATCTATTTTATTATCAGACTATATTGGTGTCTGTCTGAAGACCTTGTTTGCACTACAGGTGCCTAAATCTTCAGGGGGATGAACTCCTGGATTTAAGGTCAGAGTGCTTTTCACAAAAGCCACTGTACGTACTTGACTAGCAAAGTCATAGAATTTAGAATCAGAGTGAGTTTTAAAAGAAAACCCCTTTGGAGGAGGCAGAATTTTAAGATGCATCTTCCAATATTCTGCTTCCTGGTGTACACAAACCTTGCCCCAGTTACACTAATCTGGGTGCTGATGTGAAGGGAATTTAAAGATGTAATTAAGTTCCCAAATCAGTCCTCCTTATAATAGGGAGATGATCTGGGTAGTTCTGACCTAACCTTATCAGCCCTTTAAAAGCAGAGGGTTTTCTCCTGCTGGCTGCAGAACAAAACGTCAGAGAGAGACACCCTGGCTGGCCTGAAACAAATCAAACATGTCATGAGCTATCTACAGGGGCCACGTGGCAAGGACTGCAGGCAGCCTCTCCAAGCCAAGTGTTTCTCAGACAGCAGCCACAAGGAAAGTGGGACCCTGAGTCCAACAAGTGCAAGGAAATAATTATGTAGGCAACCCGTAAGCTTGGAAGAGGGCTCTAACCACCAGAAGAGAAGCACACCACCCAGGACACCTTGATTTCAGTTCAGCTCTTTGGAACAGAGAATCTAGCCATGTCTTTCCTAGATTTATAATGAGCAGAAACTGTGAGACGATAAGTTTGCATCATTTTAAGTAGCTAAGTTTCTGGCAACTCGTTATATAGTGATAAAGGAGGAATACCCTCTTTATTTTTTAAGTAATAAAACAGGCCAAGAAAGATGTCATTATTTGATTCGAGGTCATCCAGTCAGCTAGTGACAGTTCTGTAAAACTCCAGTTTCCTGACTCTTGGTACTATGGTTTTGTTCTTCCCTCCTTTGGGGCACGCAGAGGTTTCTCGTGGTTTCACACCCCTTTAAGATAGTTCTTCCCAAACTCGATCTCTGGTGGCGCATATTTTACCTATCCTCCCTCTCCAACCAAGGCCCGAAGCTCTTGCCACACCTCTCCTATTGGACAATGCCCAGGATCAGAGCTCTCTTCCCTCTTCCCTGCCCTATTGTCAAATCCTAACACATTGCACAAGGCAGTTTCAGAATTGTGTTGTGTACCCGTCCCAGCTGGGAGCACTTTAAGAACCAAAGGTGGTGGAGATGGCAAAGTGTTTCAGAGTCAGACGATGGTCCCAGATCCATTCCATCACGTTTCCTCTCTCAAACTCCAAAATCAGGTGTCTGACATGCCCTTCCACACCTATACAGTAACTATTATTGTAACCTTCTTTTTTCTCTAGTGTTCTCCCTTGATTTTCAGTTTCTACATGGGCACTCCTGGTATCTGGTACTTTGCTGATAGACTCATTTCCAGGATCGCCACAAATAACCTCTGTGGCTTTAATTACCCAGAAGCAGTTCATCCTAAGGACACCACATTAACTGAGAAGGGTATGAATCTATACGTATTAACAGTTACAGTTCTCGAGAGCTTGTTTGGAGGTTCTAGCAGGGGAGCACAGCTACTCATATACCCTTGACAGAAGACCAGTCACCCTCTATTGGGGATGGTCATCCTCTTTGACCCAGCATGCAGCTTCAGGAGGGATGCACATGGAGTGGAGAGGGAGGAAGGGGTCACCTGCCTAGCCAGCCAAATCAACCCTGGTGATTAATGGGGTGACAGATGTCACAGCCAGATCGCCCTCACATCCTGTGCTTAAAAATGCCTGTTAGCATGCCCACATAATATTGCTTGAATGAAGAGTTACAATGTATAAAAATTGTTTTGATTATAATGCATTTTTACATTTGCCAACGACAAATAAAAATGTGTATCATTAGATCAAGATTAAAATTACGTCTTTGAAAGTCATAAGGCTAACAGCTATCGGCTACATAAAATATTATATCCCATGCTGGGAGACCAAAACAAGTGCTAAAATATAAGTGCAAGTTCCAATGAAATTTTGAGACTCCCTTAACGTTATTTATGCTCAAATGTGTAAAAACCAAAAGGTGTCCCATTCCAAGGAATTTTCAATGCCTCAAATTGAGATGTTAGGACCTCATATATATCCTTAAATTTTCTTAAGAAAGTTGGAACTTCAGTTACATTATCAATCTAAAAACATCTGCCAGTTGACCTCTAGATGAAGACATGAGTCCTAGTCACATTTGTAAATATGTACACATAGTTTAATTTTCTTTTAAAGTTGGTAACATGCAAATTAACCAATAGAAACCTAACTGATTTGCTTTTATCAGCACATTTTAAAATAACAGCTAATCAAAGGGTAGACATTCATCTTCTCTGAACAACAATACTTGCTTCATTAAGCAATATGTTGACGGCTAATATGATAAATTCAAATAACAAATACAAATTTTACAAGCCCTGATAACGGAAGACATAAAAGAGCATATTTTGAAAAGGGTGATTGCCTCATATATATAATTTTTGTCACAGTTACTTGAAATACACATGAAAGAGCATTGATGTTGAATAAATGATAACAGTAATCAAACTTTAATATAATACTATGTATAAATAGGCTTGTCAAAAGAAAAAATATGAGTAGCAAAGTGGAAAGACTAGATAAAATAATTCACTAAATGAGTGAGCAAAGTATTTAAACATTTTAATCCTTAAGAAACTTTTTTGTTAAAATAAGATAGGAATAAGAGATAGATATATTAACTCCCCATTTGAAATGTATATAACCGATTTTGAAGGTATCTTTCTCCATGTATCTACTGCTGCTAGAATAAATTATGCCTTTTCAGCAAGATATAATAAGTACTTTTCCTTCTGATTTCAGTCAGTATTGTGCAAAAGTTTTGTGTCTTACAACCGGAAAAAGTTTAGTGTGAGGGACAGTGTTAAGCTGATAAATAAATGAGAAAATTCCAAGCCAAACTTTTGAGTTATAGTGTCCTGTCGCCTTTCTTCTTAGTCTTTAATGTCAGTGCTGGAACTTAGCTAGCATCCATTATTCCATTTGGTTTCTCAGTTCTGATGTCCCCAAATCAGTCAGTAGACAATTTGTGGTTAAATTATTTTAGATTATCTTATTTCTATCATAAAGCACAAAATGTATTTTTACAATTATCTTTCCCAACATCAACAGGGGTAATTATTTGCAGTCTCTAAAGAGGCCCTAGCCTCAAAGTACTTTCTTCATACGCCTGTAATCCTAGCACTTTGGGAGGCTGAGGTGGGTGGATCACTTGAGATCAGGAGTTCAAGGCCAGCCTAGCCAACATGGTGAAACCCCCATCTCTACCAAAAAAAACAAAAAATTAAGTGGGTGTGGTGGCGGGTGCCTGTAGTCCCAGCTACTCAGGAGGCTGAGGCAGGAGAATCGTTTGAACCCAGGAGGTGGAGGCTGCAGTGAGCCAAGATTGTGCCATTGCACTCCAGTCTGAGCGACAGGAAGACCCTATGTTTAAAAAAACAACAACAAAAAAAAGAATGATGCCAAGTCTCAGTCGCCTGAACAACAAATAAAATACTTCTGTACTGCTGTGTTCTTCCAAAGACATTCAAATCACCTGTGACCTCCGTAGACTAGCAGGTCCCTGATAATAACACCCATGGAGCAGCAGTGCCTTGTGGGGGAAATGAGTGAGACTCATTGAGGACGTCAGATGCAGTGCCTCAAATGGTCTCATGAGGAGCCTCCGCTTAGGCTGGTTTCTGATTTTGAGAGTAAATCTACATCACTAGCAATGCTGTATAACAGGAAATCTGTCAGTACTGGGGGCCAGTGTGTTAGACTTTACTACTCAGCCGTACAAATAGCTTCTCTAACATGAGGTCCCTTCTATGTCAGCCATGCAGCTATGTTTTCTTTCCTTTAATTACCCAGAGCATGTTTTCTTCAGTTCTAGTACAATACGAGAAATAAGTCTTGATTATGCCAGAGCATCTTGAATCTCCTATTTGAGATTTATAAGTACAAGATGATCGCTTTAGGAGATGGTTTTATTTTCCTTTTTCTATTTTTTTTTTTTTTGCATTCTACAGAATGTTTAACACTATGCGTTACACACAATAGGTGCTCAGTCATTATTTGTTTAATAAGCAAATAAAAGACTCACAATTTCTTAAATATTGAGAGTCCAAATGTAGCCATTTGTTATTGTACTTTTAGGTCAGCTTATTCAGGTACTAAGGTATTTTAATCTATCATAAATATTTCCCATTTAAGGTATTTCGTTATAATAGTGCCATTATTGGCATGGCATTTTGATAAATCTAGAAATATTACTCATTCTCTGAGATTTCTGTTGTCTACTCAAGACAATGGAACTGAAATATTGGTACTTTTACATATTAGAAAAATAGAATTATTCAAAAAGAAAAATATAACATTATAAAGAACATGTTTACAAATGGCGCCTATAAAGAACACTGTATAGGAAAAAAAAATGCTATCCATGAAGTGGAAACCATACGACATGATAGTTCATTTATAAACTGCTTTCTTGTCTGTTTTCTTTTGTAATCGTGGAGAAGGCATGGTTGGGTGACACTTTATTTACCCACTTCCTCTCAGCTTGTTCTTATAATTTTGAATTTCCTACTTCATAGTCTATCCAATGAAATCTACCCAACACCAAGGATAGTACCTTGAGAGTTAAATGCTCTAACTAAATGTTTACTGGTTTTTTATTTTTATTTATTTATTTATTTGAAATGGAGTTTTGCTCTGTCACCCAGGCTGGAGTGCAGTAGCGTGATCTCGGCTCACTGCAACCTCCGCCTCCAGAGCTCAAGCATTCTCTGCCACAGCCTCCCGAGTAGCTGGGATTACATGCACCCACCACCACGCACGACGAAGTTTTGTATTTTTAGTAGAGATGAGGTTTCACCATCTTGGCCACGCTGGTCTTAAACTCCTAACCTCGTGATCCACCCACCTTGGCCTCCCAAAGTGTTGGAATTACAGGCATGAACCACCGCACCCAGCCTTTATTTCAATTTTTAAGTTCTGGAATACATGTCCAGGATGTGCAGGTTTGTTACACAGGTAAACATGTGCCATGGTGGTTTGCTGCACCTATCAACCCATCACCCAATTATTAAACCCCCATGCACCAGCTATTTTTCCTAATGTTCTGCCTCCCCCCACCCCACCCCTGACAGGCCCCTGTGTGTGTTGTTCCTGTGTCCATGTGTTCTCATTGTTCAGCTCCCACTTATAAGTGAGAACATGCAGTATTTGGCTTTCTGTTCCTGTATTAGTTTGCTGAGGATAATGGCTTTCAGCTACATCCTGATTTGAATAGACATACCTAAGTCAGTCAAGATAAAGAGGTAAAATTGATTGTAAAACGGATTGAACAATGTCCTTGAAATAGAATAGTGTTAATAATAGATTTTCCTTCCCATGAAGTCTGATTTAAGAATCATATTAGTTAGTGGGGGAAAGAATAGCTAGCTTCTAGAATAGATAAATCCACAAAACCTGATAGGCTTAGAACAAAAGAATTCTTTCTTTCCCACAGAAAGTTGAAGAGAGATATTCCTGGTTGTCAGGTAGACTTAGAAGGTCCCAGGCTCCTTCCATATCATGGCTATGCCCCATGCTGGGGTTCAGAGTCCTTGCGTTTTGCCAGTGGGTAAAGAGAGCACACTCATGTCCATTTCCCTCCCACTGGCTAGGAACCAGCCATGTGCTGACCACACTCAAGAAGGGAGGCTGAGATAGGTAGAATAATCATACACCTAGAGAGGAAAATAAATAAATTATGTGCATGCCCTTCCTTGTTATATATCTTAGTATCTCTGCCACTGACAGGGTTTAATATACCTTTTCCAAAGTTCTTCAGGATTATGTAAGGATTCGTGTGTGAATACAGCACAGAAATGATATAGACTCTGTATGAGATAAATACTTCATTTTTAAATTGTCCAACAATTCCTTTCCTCAGACTTACTATATTCCTTGAACACTCGATTTTTTGGTAATAGTCACAACTGCCTCACAAGAAAAAGTTGCCGTTGCTGTCAGTAATCCAGATTTCTCAAAAATGTAATTTTCTAAAGAAATAAGTCAAATTTTTTTCTGTGAATTTCTTTGCTTAAATATATGTTTGTTCCAGCCCCTATATGTCAGCCTGCCCTTGTCCTGATGAGCCAGACCTGCTCCAAGCCCTATGCGTCCACCTTTCTTTTTGCCCAACACTTTGATACAAGTTATCTTTGTTTTTCTCAAGTCAGAATGACTTCAACTCTGGTTAGATTCTCACTTGCTGCATCATAAAGCTGTCCCCAGAATAATTTAGGAAGCATGAGATCTCTGTATTTGTAACCCAACAGATGTCTAGGAAGTTAAACTTCCCCTGGGGCATGGTGCCATGTAATTTGGAACTCTTGGAAAGTGGTCCAGTATTTATCATTTCTGCTATCACTTCATCCCAGGGGATTAAAGCAGATGCAGCCAATGCCCACTGGGTTTTCTCCTCTCTTGTTCGTTCTTTATAGCCTTCCTTAACACTCAATAATTTTTACTAACAAACTACAGTCCCTTGGCAATACAAATCAAAATAGCACCTGGAATATAACTAATTCTTTCTAAAAAGGTCAAAAGGAGTCATTCGTGACATATTTCCAATATGCTGCACAAGAAACAAAAGAAAGATGATCTTGCTTTCATTATAGTCAGAATGTTGACAATCCAGAAGTAACACTGCTATTATCTGCTAATGATATATTAAATGTATGTATGCCATCTCACCACTCAAAATGAGAATTCATAGGAAAAAAAGGAATATGGATTTTTAACAGGGGTAATTGAATTTTGCCATCCTTCTAAATACTTTATTAACTAACCTCTAGTATGCTCTTGTTTAAATTGATTTGCATTGTACCAAGTGAATTGCCCACCATCCACCTGGGACGCAGCATCTTCTTTACTCTTAAAATCCTCTCACCCTGCTCTTTACTTAAACACACACACACACACACACACACACACACACACACACACACAGACTCCACAACCCTCTGCAATCCAAACTATACAGAACTGACATAAAATTGAGACAAAGGTACAGAAGCCAAGAACCCCATATCATATTTTGTGAGACATAATGCTGTAACCAACAATGATTTGTGATGTGATTTGTACTTGTTGATTTGCCAAGATGAAACGGACTCAATTCAGAAATTAGAATCTCTGAGTGTAATGAGAACCTGACAAGCCTTTAACTAGAACAGAAGGAAAAATTATTATCATAGGATCGTAAAATCAACTCTACCAGTATGAACCCTATAGAGGGGCCAAAAATTCTTGGCAATGTTCTTCAGTTGCAAAACACACAAGATTGATTAGAACAAGAAAAGATACATTATTTCCTCTTCCTGAGCAGTTGTGAGACCAGCTTTGTTTTGAAGATCTTATCACATACACACAAAGATTTTCATATTTCTAGGTCATGGTTCTATATAAATAATCATCTGATTCACTTATTAACTGCATAAGCTATTCAAAGTTAAAATGTATAGTGTGTACTAAACAATGTATTTCTTTTGGAACTTTAATGTTTACTACATAGATTTTGAACTTGGGAGTAGTTTTAGGAAAGCTTCCCTTCCTAGAGAATTTTTACTTTCCATAGCACTAAAATGAAGCTGTGAAAGTAAAGGACCTTGTTGTCCAGGTCATATATCATGGTCATTCATGTATCACCAGGACCTAGTATAAGACCAGGCACTCGGCAGGTGCACAAAAATTTTATGCCCTTCAATAATTAAAGTTTATTGTGGAGGGTACATTGTTTTTTATTTTCACAAATGTTTCACTTGTAAGCCAGAGAAGATCAATAAGTCTAGCATTGGAGATTGGTTTAACTCTTTCTTTATATTCCGGTAGTAAGGTGGCATACCAGTTCCAAGGGGAACAAAGTGATTCATCAAAAATTAGTGTATCTAATTCTTTCCCTCTAGTTCAGCCAAAGACCAATAAATGAAGAACTTCATGTTGGTTCCTTACGTTTCTAAACATCTTTACATACTTCTGTGTGGTCTGAAAACACAATTCACTGGGAAACATTTTTTAAAATGAATGGTTATGATAGCATCCTGGGCTCAACTGTACTATGATTCCTATCAGGTGGTGTCTTCTCTAATTTCTCCTGCATGGTTTCTAAACATTAAGCCCTGTTTTCAGTCACGTGAATTTGTACAATAAAATGAGTCGAGTCATATCAGATCCCTATTTTGAGCATATCACTATACAAGGAGTTGCTTTTTCTAAGCTGTGCCGAGAAAGCCTTAGTGGCCACCTGCTGTTCAGAGTTTTCTGTCTTTATCCTCAAAGCTACTCAGAGTGCCTGTGTTTCATTTTAAACATTCTTAGGAATAATACAGCGGAAAGATAATTTCACAAAATATCATCTTATCTATGACTGCCCAAACATTGAATTGATGGGTGTTTATCTGCCATACACTTTCCTAGGTTTTTGCCCCTGTGTCACTGTATCAGGTACTGAGACCTGCAGTGTGGAAAAAGGGGTGATTTGGATGTTGAACTTCCAGAGAACTTCAAGCACCCTATCTTCTGGGGAAAATGATACTAATGAGATGCTATTTTCTTATAACCTCGTTTTAGGTATCTATGTAGATAAACCAAGACCAAGAGGCTCCCTATGCTGTCCAGCATACTACCTGGAATTCCCACTTCCTGGGAATTCCACATGCCCACTCTGAATGCAAAGCCTTTCCCCATTCCCTATCCTGCCTTTCCTTGTCTACCTGAAAATGTCTACTCATCTTCCCAGGCTCCAGCTGAAGCTTAGGAAACTCTGTTGGTCCTTCGTGACCCTCTCAGTCACCACTACAATTAATCACTCTTGTCTTCATACCAACACTGTGTACCCTGCACAGACATTGAAATTTGATTATTCTCTATTAGATTCTGAGATTCTTAATGAAAGAGCCATATAAGTGCATACAAAGTAGAGCATTCTGTCAACATATGACAGGTGCTCAGTAAATACTTGAGTGAATGAATGAACAAAGCAATCATGAAAATCAAATGAAGCATTAACTCATTCAGTTGCCCTAATAACCTCCTGAATAGTTTACGTTTAGTTGTGAAAATGTAGTTGACGTTTTTTAATCTGTCAATATCTGTTGAGATACTTAACAGTAGTAGAAATAAACTAACATAAATATATATTCATTGGTAGGATAGTCATAGCTAAGGAAACCAAAAGGAAGGGTAAAAACCTTAAGATTCAACAAAAGTCAAAGTCAGAGGAGCTCTTGGGATTTAGATAATTGAGAGATGCCACTGTCAGGATGAATAAGTTTCTGTTGATTTCAGACTTTGTGTCACTAAAATTCCAGGAGGGCACCTGATTGGTCCAGTTTGGATCATGTGCCAACCTTCTACAATGAGACTGACTCCATTTCCTTTTTCTTTTTTATTTTTCAGGGTATCCAATTATTCTAATTTGCCCAGAACACTTCCACATTTTTTACACTACTTTGAGGTATGATGGATATACAAAATGCATGTATATTTAGTGTATGCAAGTTGACAAGTTTAGAGATAAGTATATACTCATGAAAGTATCACCATAATCCATGCCATAAACATATCCATCACCTTCAAGTTTCCTCCCACCCTAATTATTGTCTTTTATTTTTAAATAAGAACAGTTAACATGATATCTACACCATGTTAGCAGAGGTCTAAGTATCCAATACAGTATCATTAACTATGGGCACCATGCTGCACGATACAACCCTAGGATTTATTCATTTTGCATAACTGACTTTGTACTCTAATATTTCCCCATTTGTCCCTCTGACAGCCACCATTATCCTCTCTGCACTTCTATGTGTTTGGTTATTTTAGATACTTATAAGTGGTATCATGTAGTATTTACCATTTTATGCTTGTTTTATTTCACTTAGCATGATGTTCTCCAGTATCATCCATGTTGCTGCAAATGGCAGCATTTCCCTATTTTTAAGTCTGAGTAATATATCATTATAAGTATATATCATAGTTTATCAATTTCATGTATCAGTGGGCATTTAGGTTGTTTCCAGGTCCTACAGTGAACAATAATGCAGTGAGCTTGGCAGTGCAGCTATCTCTTCAAGACCCTGATTTCAATTTCTTTGAATATATGCTCAGAAGTGGGACTGCTGGATCATATGGTGCTTCTGTTTAAAATATTCATAAACCACATATCTGATACAGGGTTAATATCCAAAATATATAAGGAACTCTTACAACCCAAAAGGAAAAACACAAATAACCCAATTATAGAATGGGCTAAAGAATTGAAAAGACATCTGTTCGAAGAAGACATACAAAAGGCCAACATGTATATGAAAATCTGCTCAGCATCACTAATTATCAGGGGAGTGCAAATCAAAACCATCATGATATCACCTCAAACCTGTTATAATGGCCATTATCAAAAAGACAAAAGATAACAAGTGTGGGATGATTAAGTGGAGAAAAGGGAACCCCGTACACTGTTGCCGGGATTGGAAATTGGTGCAGCCACTACGATAAACAGTCTAGAGGGTCCTAAAAATATTACAAATGAATCAGCTTTCCGGATTGTGCCACATGCACTTTAGGATGGAGGAGGAATGTTTATTCAAAGAAAAACTAGTCTGCTGTTACGAAAAAGAAGGTAGAATAGAAATTTGATTTTTAAAAATGCCCTCATCACCTGGGCACTAGCCCGGGTCTACTTTTGCTTGAGTATTCTATCTTTTATTCTTCTTCTGATAGTTTATTATTTAATGTTTTATTCAATAAATATGTATTAAGAACCTAAAATACCAGGAATCATTCAAGGCCTGAGAATACAGCAATGAATGAATATGACACATACCCTGCTTTTATAGATCTTACATTTCAATGGAAGGACATAGACAATTAACAAATACATTACACAGGTTGAGCATCCTAATAAACAGTCTGAAATCCAAAATGCTCCAAAATCCAAAATGTTTTGACCACTGACATGACAACATAAGGAGAAAATGTCTACACCCGACCTCTTGTGATGGGATGCAGCCAAAACTTGGTTTAATGCACAAAATTATTTAAAATATTGTATCAAGTTACCTTCAGGCTATGTGTATAAGGTATATATAAAATATAAACTTCGTATTTAAACTTGGGTTCCCTCCCCCAAGATACCTCATTACGTAAATGCAAATATTCCAAGATCCAAAACACCTCTAGTCTCAAGCATTTTGAATAAGGGACGGTCAACCTGTATGCCATGTAAAAATTAGCAAAATAGAGAAAAATCAATCAGAGAAAGGTAAAAAGAACAATGCTGCAGGATGCATGTAGTTGATATTTCATAAAAGATAGGGAAGGTCTCTCTGATATGGTATTATTTCAGCAAGAACAGATGGAAAGTCATGCAGATGGCTGGGGCAGAGGGTTGGGATTTAGGCAGATGAAGCCAGTGGTGAGAATACTGGAAATTTAAAGTAACAGTGAAGAGGTCAGTGTGTCTGGAATGGAGCGAGGAAGTGAACAGTTACAGGAGAAGGACAATAGGGTTAGCAACAAATCAAAATCATATAAGGTATTAATTCTCAGTGACTTTGGTAAATAATTTGACTTTTATTCTGAGTAAAATGGGAATTTGTGGGACTATTTGGAAGTAGAGTGAAAGGAAGGAAGGAATAGATTATTAAACATATTGGGGGATAGCATTAACAGGATTTGCTGACAGATTAGATTTCAATGTAAGGAAATATTTAGCTTGATCAACTTTAATGATGAGCTTGCATTTATTGAGAAAGAAAGAATGTAGACTATAGAAAGAGGAATTTGGGAGGCAGACTGTAGGGCAGGAATCATGATTTCAGTTATGAACACGCTGATTTTGAAATGTCTGTTGTATATCGAAGGGAAGATATCCAGTAGACAGAAGGGAGCGTCCATTCACGCGGAAAGGTCTGGCCTGAAGATACAAATACGTAAAATTATCAGGGAAAAAGCTTTTAAAGTTATTAGACTGGATGAAATACTCTCTTATGTAATTATAGAGAAGAAAGCATATCTGAAAAAATGAACTTTAAGATCCTTCCAATTTTAGATGTTAGGTATCAGAGAACAGCCCATCAAAGAAGGCCAAGAAATAGGGGCTGATGTCAGTGAAGTAAGACTACGAGATGACCCAGAAGCCCCCCACCCCCCAAAAAAAGAGGGAAGGAGGCAAGTACTGGCTGGAATGTCAAATGTTGTAGCCACTTTGGAAATAGTTTGGCATATTCTGGAAAAGTTAATACAAATTACATGATCCAGCAATTACTCTCCTAGGTAGCTACCTGATAAAATTTATTTAATTTTTTATTTATTTAGTTTTTGGAGACGGAGTCTTGCTCTGTCACCCAGACTGGAGTGCAGTGTTGTTGTCTCGGCTCACTGCAACCTACGCCTCCTAGGTTCGAATGATTCTCATGCCGTAGTCTCCCAAGTAGCTGGGATTCCAGGCGCAGACCAGCATGCCTGGCTAATTTTTTCTACTTTTACCAGAGAGGGGGTTTCACCAGGTTGGCACCAGGTTGACAAAGGGAAGACACTAGTGTTTATAGCATAATTATTCATAAATGTCAAAAAGTAGGAACAATCCAAATGTCCATCAACTAATCCATGGACAAATAAATATGGTATACGTCTAAAATTGAATACTATTTGGCAATAAAGAGTAACAAAGAACTGATACATGCTAAAACATACATAAACCTCAAAAACATACTAAGTAAAAGAGACAAAAATGCCACATACATCATATGATTCCATTTATGCGAAATTCAAGAAAAGGCAAATCTATATAGACAGAAAGTAGTTTAATGGCTGTCTGGGGCTGGGAGTGAAATGGGAGTAACTTACTGATAGATACACACGACATTTTGGGGGTAATAAAAATTTTCTAAAATTGGATGGTGGTGATGTTTGCACAACTCAGTAAATTTTATAAAATTTATTGAATTGTACACTTAAAATTGGTGCATTTTATTTTCTGAAACATATATACTCCAATACACCTGTTAAAAGAGGAAGTAGTTGATCTTGCCAAAATTTTTTAGAGAGGACAAGTTACATAAAGAATGATATTTATTTGAGCTTAGAATTTCACAACATGGAGTTACCAGTATAGTTTACAAGAGTTATCTGCATGGTCCTGTTGGAACAAATATTTGCTTTTATTGTTGAAAAGATAATGGGAGACTAAACATTGAAAGATATCAACCATGCCTCAAGTTAGTTTATTGGATTAAGATGAAGTATTCCATTACATCTGCCTAACAAAAGCTAAAGAAAATTCACTTTGATAAACAACCACACTCTTCAAAATTTTTCATGTGCAATGTCTAACAGTCTAAAATTACCAAGCATGTCAAGACAGTATCAACAGACAATACACATATTAGAAACAGACTTACATTCTAGAGTTGAAGATACTAGCTACATTTAAAATAGCACTGATTAATCTTCAGAAAAAAAGATAAAAAGGTAAAGAATTTCAACAGGTAACTGAAATTTATAAAACAAAATAATTGTAATTATAGAATTTAATAAAATAACTGAAACTCAACACTTGTATTTGTCAGCAGATTAAACAGAGTATTAGTGATCTCAAATATTGGTTGTCAGAAAAGATACAGATCTCTCCAACATTGAGAGAAAAAAAGAGAGAATAAAGAAAATAATCTGAGTCACATGGGACACAAGGAAATGCTCTAACATGTTTGTATTATTAAAGTCCCAGACAGGAAGAAAAAAAAAAGGATAGAAGCATTACACAAATATTTTTGAAAATGTACAAAACTGAAGAAAGACATTGACACATTGGCCCTCTCAGGTTGAGGAAGCTCTGTGAACTACTAGAACAAAAATGAGACAAATATATGTGTGTGTGTGTGTATATATTGTGCATACATGTATTGTGTGTGTGTATATATTGTGCATACATATACATACATATATATGCACTATATATGTGTATACACATACATTTTCATACAGACAATACATACATACAGAATATATAATATATACATATTCTCATCAAGGAATATTATACTGGTGAAACCTGAAGACAAATATTGTATGAAGTTACCTTCAGGCTATGTGTTTAATGGTGTATATTTAGACTTGGGTTCCCTCCCCAAGATACCTCATTTTGTATATGCAAATATTCCAAAACCCAAAACACCTCTAGTCTCAAGCATCTTGAATAAGGGACAGTCAACCTGTATGCCATGTAAAAATTAGTGAAATAGAGAAAAATCAATCAGAGAAAGGTAAAAAGTACAAGGCTGAAGGATGCACACAGTTGATATTTCATAAAACATAGGAAAGTTCTCTCTGATATGGTGATATTTCAGCAAGAAGAGATGGAAAGTCATGCAAACGGCTGGGGCAGAGGGGATGGTCGGGGGGGGGTTTCGGCAGATGAAGACAAAGAAAAAACGTGAAAACATACACAGGAAAAAAATGCACATGGCCTTAAAGGGGCAACAGTTAGATTTATGGTTGATTTCTTAACAGAAATGATGGAAGCCAGAATGCAATGGAATTGCAAATTTAACTTCTGAAAAAAAAATCTCCCTACCTAGAAATCTATGATGAGCAAAAAATATTCTACAAAATATATAAAAAATAAAGATGAACAAGTAAACGTTCCTCACCAACCACATATTAAATGACATGCTGAAAACTAGTTTTCAAATAGAAGCAACTCAAATGCAAAAGGATGCACACAAATTTAAAGACCAAAGAGAAATGGAAAAAGAAAACATTTGGCTAAATCTAAATCAATAACAGAAAATAGTAAATGAAATAAAAATCATAGTAATAATGGAGTTTAGGTAAATATAAAATACATAACCAGAATAGAACACAACAGTTACTGAAGGAGTCTTTATATTGTACAGAAATATTGAAAGTTTATGTTTTTCATTATATTTGAATGTGATGAGTATTAAGACTGTTGTTTTGAGGAATAGCCTCTAGGGTAGCCACTAAAATGATAATGAAAGAATTCATTAATAAAGAGATAAGAAATGAAATACTTTCAAAATATTTTATTAATCCAAAAGAAGTCAATGAAAGGATAGGCAAATAAACACACACAGATTTGGTAAACAAAATAAACACAAAATAGCACATAGATCTGAATATATAGGTGTCTAAACTGGCATATCTCCTAATACTTTAATTAATATACAAAGATTAGAAGACTGTTAGAAACCACAAAGACTTAACCATGCTTAAAATATAAGGACGCAGATTAAAAAGGATAGAAATGTATACCATGAAATATAAATTTTTTTAAAAGGTAGTGAGCTCTATTAACATTAGAGTAGTCTTATAGCAAAACACCATTCTGGTGACAAAAAGGAATATTTTGTAATAAAAAAGTAATTCCAACAAAAATATGCAAATTATAAATTTTTATGCATATAATCATGTAGCTGTGAAATATATTAAGCAAATTTAACAAATCCACAGCATTTTTTACATACCTCCCACAGTAATTGATGGAAGAAGCAGAGAAATTAAAGAAATAGATGATTTGAAAAAACAAAATTAATAAGTACCATGTAGAAATTATAATATCCAATAATTACAGAATATACATTTTAGATAAGACATTAATCAAAAGTGATTTATCTAGGAACATAAAGCAAATTAGCAAAATTTCAAATGATTACCATAACACAGAGTGTGTTCTCAGATTCCTGTGAACTTAAATTACAGAAGAATGTTAGAAATATAACTTAAAACATCCCAAATAATTGGAAATACAACAATGCACATTTTCAGAAAGCTCTTTGTCAAAGAAAAATCCTAAAGGGAAATGTAAAAATATTTAGAAAAAGCTAATGGTAATTAGTCATATTATGGGAAGCAGCTAAAGAGTAAACAAGGGTAAACATGCAACCTTAAGTTCATACATTACAAAGGACTAAATTACAATCAGAAAGAACAAAAAGTAGAAGGGGGAAAATAATAAAGACGAAACTTTAATGACACAGAAAATAAATATAGAAAAAGGCACCAAAGCTACATGTTTCTTCTTTGAAAAATTCATATGTATATGCTTTTAGCAAAACTGATGCAAAACAAAAATAGAAGGTATCAATTACCAGCACCAGAAATGAAAAAACAAAGACACCAGTACAGACCCTACATATGTATCATACTGCCATGAAAATAGTTATGAGCAAGTCTTTGCCAATAAATTTAAACCAATAAAATTGACACTTTTTAAAGAAAAGCACAAATAAACTTACTATTAATTTTTAGAAATTATTTTCTCTATGCATTAAAATTTAATTATATAGCCTAAAACTTTTCAAATAAAATATTTTGATAAAAACCTTGTCTGAGGCCAGGCACGGTGGCTTATGCCTGTAATCCCTGCATTTTGGAAGGACGAGGCCAGTGGATCACTTGAGGTCAGGAGTTCCACACCAGCCTGGCCAACATGATGAAACCCCATCTCTAATAAAAATACAAAAAATTAGCTGGGCGTGGTAGTGCATGCCTGTAGTCCCAGCTACTTGGGAGGCTGAAGCAGGAGAATCCCTTGAATGCAGGAGGTGGAGGTTGCAGCGAGCCAACCTCAGGCCACTGCACTCCAGGCTGGGTGACAGATTAAGACTCTAAATAAATAAAGTAAACTTAATCAAAAGGACATCATAAGCGAATTCATCCAAACTTCCAAGTAAGAAATAAAGTCAAGCATTTAGAGAAACTAAAAAAAATAGAGTAATTCCAATTTTTAATTTGCAAGGCCAGAATAGCTTATTGCTAAAAATGGATGAGAGCACAATAAAGCGGAATTCAAGGCCAACTTTCTCTCATGAACATGAATACACATTTCCTCCACAAAATAATAGCAAATAAATTCTGCTGTCACATCATTCCTGGGCATCTGTCAGTTTTAAGTGCAAAGCAAGGGGTAAGAATCCAAGGCTACTGTTGCACATCTGAGAAACCAGCGGAGCTTTGGGCCATTTCTCAGGGCTGGAAAGACACAAATGAATTCTTGAGGGACTATAAATAAATTGGCATTGCACTGTAAGACGTCTAATGTATTTTGAAGCTGCACGGGTGGGAAACTAAACTCTAAGGCGATAGCCTCTGAAAAACAAGCAGAATTGTCCAGTTTCCCCTGTGCAAAAAAATTAGAGCTCAAGAAAGACCCCTTGAACATGCCAGGCACTCAGCCCTAGAGTGAATGTCATCACTTCTATGCCTTAGGAGTAGGGGCAAGTCAGAGACAGACTATGCCCTACCAAAACAATAACCCTATCTCTAGTCAACCCAGGTACCAATTTTGACTCAGTCTTTCTTCCTAGCAGAGGAGACAGCAAATCCTCCAGGGAAGTCTACATTATTTAGTCTTCTTCATTCAATAAAAATGAATAAGCATGCCAGGAGCAAAGAGCAGGAAACCAACCACCAAAAATGATAGTTTACATAGATCCATAATCCATCGATATACTGAACTTAAAAGACAGGGACTTAAAATAATTATAATATGTTCCAGAGAGGAAAAGATAAAAATTTGGAAAATCTCCCAAGAGAATTACACATTAAACAAAAATAAAAGGTGATTCTTTGAGAATATAAGTACATAACTGGAAAACACCACCTAGCCAACAACAAGAAAAGCAGAGAAAACACAAATTACTAACATCAAGAATGATAAGAGAATATCAGCAAAATATAAACATTAAATATAATGAACATATTATAAACTATACATAATTTTGAAAATATAGTTCAAATAAATTCCATTAAAATTGCATTTAAAAAACACATACAATAGAAAGTCTTGTTGTTTATAATGTTGTTAAAAAAATTTACTCATAGTTAAAAATATTTTTAAAAAGAAAACTCCAGATCCAGGTGTCTTCACCAGTAAATTTCTCTAGTAACTGAAGAAATAATATCTAACCAACTTGTTCAGTTAATTGGAAAAAAAGAGAGGACTTCCCAAAATTTTTTGTGGTGAATGTCTTGATAGTTGCAGACAAAGTGCTTCATAAAGTTGAAAAATCATTTATGATTTTACAAAATATCAAATAATAAAAAGCGATTGATTTAATCTTTTTAAAAATCCACACTAATACTTACAGAATACATCATATTCAGTGATGAGTGATAGAAAGTTTTCTAGATGAACGTGAACCAGGAGGTTTACCGTCACTATTATTAGTTAACCTTTTCCTGGGAAGTCTAGCCAATACAATAAAATAAAATGAAAAGCCTAAGGATTAGAAATAGAAAAAAAAATAAATGTCACTTTTCCCACATGACATTTTTGTATTCATAAAAATCCAAAAGAAACTGGAAACAAAGTATTAGAATTAATAAATTTGGCAAGGTTTCTGACTGTGTTAATATAAAAATTCAATGAAATTTTTATGTAACATGAACTGGAAAATAAATTGTAAATGTCATCATTACAAAACTTCTAAAATACATCAAATAACAAAAGAAGCACATAATCTCTACACACAAAAAATGTGAAATATAAATGAGAGAAATCTAAGAAGACCTAAATAGAGGGATATACCATATTTATGTATTATAAGACTGGTGTAAAAATATTCCTCCCCTCCAAATTGTCTATATAATCAATGCAATCTCAATACAACTTTCAATAGAATACTTTTTTATAAAATGAAAATTCGATTCTAAAATTTATACAAATATATGAAGAGCTAAGAAAATTCAAGATGATCTTAAAACAGAAAGAAGTGATAAATGTTTGAGATGATGGATATGCTAATTACCCTCATCTGATTATTATACATTATACGTATTGAAGCAACTTTATGTACCCCATGAATATGTACCATTATTATTTCATCCATTTAAAAAAATAGAATTGTAAGTCACTCAGGACTTGCTTTATGAATCTTGGTGCTCCTCTATTGGGTGCATATATATTTAGGATAGTTAGCTCTTCTTCTTGAATTGATCCCTTTACCGTTATGTAATGGCCTTCTTTGTCTCTTTTGATCTTTGTTGGTTTAAAGTCTGTTTTATCAGAGACTAGGATTGCAACCCCTGCCTTTTTTTGTTTTCAATTTGCTTGGCAGATCTTTCTCCATCCTTATATTTTGAGCCTATGACTCCCACACAATAATAATGGGAGACTTTAACACCCCACTGTCAACATTAGACAGATCAACGAGACAGAAAGTTAACAAGGATACCCAGGAATTCAACTCAGCTCTGTAGCAAGAGGACCTAACAGACATCTACAGAACTCTCCACCCCGAATCAACAGAATATACATTTTTTTCACCTATTCCAAAATTGACCACACAGTTGGAAGTAAAGCTCTCCTAGGCAAATGTAAAAGAACAGAAATTATAACAAACTGTCTCTCAGACCACAGTGCAATCAAACTAGAACTCAGGATTAAGAAACTCACTCAGAACCGCTCAACTACATGGAAACTGAAACCTGCTCCTGAATGACTACTGGGTACATAACGAAATGAAGGCAGAAATAAAGATGTTCTTTGAAACCAACGGGATCAAAGACACAACATACCAGAATCTCTGTGACACATTCAAAGCAGTGTGTAGAGGGAAATTTATAGCACTACATGCCCACAAGAGAAAGCAGGAAAGATCCAAAACTGACACTCTAACATCACAATTAAAAGAACTAGAAAAGCAAGAGCAAACACATTCAAAAGCCAGCAGGAGGCAAAAAATAACTAAAATCAGAGCAGAACTGAAGGAAATAGAGACACAAAAAACCCTTCAAAAAATTAATGATTCCAGAGCTGGTTTTTTGAAAAGATCAACAAAACTGATAGACCGCTACCAAGACTAATAAAGAAAAAAAGAACAATCAAATAGACGCAATAAAAAATGATAAAGGGGATATCACCACCGATCCCACAGAAATACAAACTACCATCAAAGAATACTACAAACACCTCTACGCAAATAAACTAGAAAATCTAGAAGAAACGGATAAATTCCTCAACACATACACTCTCCCAAGACTAAACCATGAAGAAGCTGACTCTCTGAATAGACCAATAACAGGCTCTGAAATTGTGGCAATAATCAATAGCTTACCAACCAAAAAGAGTCCAGGACCAGATGGATTCACAACCGAATTCTACCAGAGGTACAAGGAGGAATTGGTACCATTCCTTCTGAAACTATTCCAATCAATAGAAAAAGAGGGAATCCTCCCTAACTCATTTTATGAGGCCAGCATCATCCTGATACCAAAGCCTGGCAGAGACACAACCAAAAGAGAGAATTTTACACCAATATCCTTGATGAACATCGATGCAAAAATCCTCAATAAAATACTGGCAAACCGAATCCAGCAGCACATCAAAAAGCTTATGCACCATGATCAAGTGGGCTTCATCCCTGGGATGCAAGGCTGGTTCAATATATGCAAATCAATAAATGTAATCCAGCATATAAACAGAACCAAAGACAAAAACCACATGATCATCTCAATAGATGCAGAAAAGGCCTTTGACAAAATTCAACAACCCTTAATGCTACAAACTCTCAATAAATTTGGTATTGATGGGATGCATCTCAAAATAATAAGAGCTATCTATGACAAACCCACAGCCAATATCATACTGAATGGGCAAAAACTGGAAGCATTCCCTTTGAAAACCGACACAAGACAGGGATGCCCTCTCTCACCACTCCTATTCAACATAGTGGTGGAAGTTCTGGCCAGGGCAATTAGGCAGGAGAAGGAAATAACGGGTATTCAATTAGGAAAAGAGGAAGTCAAATTGTCCCTGTTTGCAGACGACATGATTGTATATCTAGAAAACCCCACTGTCTCAGCCCAAAATCTCCTTAATCTGATGAGCAACTTCAGCAAAGTCTCAGAATACAAAATCAATGCACAAAAATCACAAGCATTCTTACACACCAATAACAGACAAACAGAGAGCCAAATCATGAGTGAACTCCCATTCCCAATTGCTTCAAAGAGAATAAAATACTTAGGAATCTAAGTTACAAGGGACATGAAGGATCTCTTCAAGGAGAACTACATACCACTGCTTAATGAAATAAAAGAGGATACAAACAAATGGAAGAACATTCCATGCTTATGGGTAGGAAGAATCAATATCATGAAAATAGCCATACTGCCCAAGTTAATTTATAGATTCAATACCATCCCCATCAAGCTACCAATGACTTTTTTCACAGAATTGGAAAAAACTACTTTAAAGTTCATATGGAACCAAAAAGGAGCCTGAATCGCCAAGGCAATCCTAAGCCAAAAGAACAAAGCTGGAGGCATCACGCTACCTGACTTCAAACTATACTACAAGGCTACAGTAACCAAAACAGCTTGGTACTGGTACCGAAACAGAGATATAGATCAATAGAACAGAACAGAGCCCTCAGAAATAATGCCGCATATCTACAACTATCTGATCTTTGTCAAACCTGAGAAAAACAAGCAATGGGGCAAGGATTCCCTATTTAATAAATACTGCTGGGAAAACTGCCTAGCCATATGTAGAAAGCTGAAACTGGATCCCTTCCTTACACCTTCTACAAAAATTAATTCAAGATGGATTAAAGACTTAAACGTTAGACCTAAAACCATAAAAACCCTAGAAGAAAACCTAGGCATTACCATTCAGGACATAGGCATGGGCAAGGACTTCATGTCTAAAACACCAAAAGCAATGGCAACAAAACCCAAAATTGACAAATGGGATCTAATTAAACTAAAGAGCTTCTGCACAGCAAAATAAGCTACCATCAGAGTGAACAGGCAACCTACAAAATGGGAAAAAATTTTCACAACCTACTCATCTGACAAAGGGCTAATATCCAGAATCTACAATGAACTCAAACAAATTTACAAGAAAAAAACAAACAACCCCATCAAAAAGTGGGCAAAGGATATGAACAGACACTTCTCAAACGAAGACATTTATGCAGCCAAAAGACACATGAAAAAAATGCTCATCATCACTGACCATCAGAGAAATGCAGATCAAAACCACAATGAGATACCATTTCACACCAGTTAGAATGGCAGTGATTAAAAAGTCAGGAAGAAACAGGTGCTGGAGAGGATGTGGAGAAATAGGAACACTTTTACACTGTTGCTGGGACTGTAAACTAGTTCAACCATTGTGGAAGTCAGTGTGGCGATACCTCAGGGATCTAGAACTAGAAATACCATGTGACCCAGCCATCCCATTACTGGGTATATACCCAAAGGACTATAAATCATGCTGCTATAAAGACACATGCACACGTATGTTTATCGTGGCACTATCCACAATAGCAAAGACTTGGAACCAACCCAAATGTCCAACAATGATAGACTGGATTAAGAAAATGTGGCACATACACACCATGGAATACTATGCAGCCATAAAAAATGATGAGTTCATGTCCTTTGTGGGGACATGGATGAAATTGGAAATCATCATTCTCAGTAAACTATCGCAAGGACAAAAAACCAAACACCGCATGTTCTCACTCATAGATGGGAACTGAACAATGAGAACACATGGACACAGGAAGGGGAACATCACACGCTGGGGACTGTTGTGGGGTGGGGGGAGCGGGGAGGGATAGCATTGGGAGATATACCTAATGCTAAATGACGAGTTAATGGGTGCAGCACACCAGCATGGCACATGTATACAAATGTAACTAACCTGCACATTGTGCACATGTACCCTAAAACTTAAAGTATAATAATAATAATAATAATAATAATAATCATAATAGAATTGTAAAAATAAAGAGAAAATAGAATATCAAGATGGAAGACTTACACTACAAACTATCAAAATAATTATAAAGCTGCTGTAATTAAGACAGGGTGGTATTGGCACAAAGTGGGACAAATGGATGCCAGAAGTAGAATAAGAATTCAAAACTTAGCCCTCACATATACAGTCTCCTGTATTTTGAAAAAATTCTCAATCGAGAGCAGTAGGGAAAAAAATTACATTTTCTGTAAATGGTTCTGGAGCAAATGCATATACAAGGAGAAAAATAACTTTGACCTCTACTTCGCTCCACTTCCAGGGTGATTCTAGATCTACATATAAATGGCAAGGCAATCTGGAGAATCAGAATGCAAAAATACTCTAAAAATAGATGAAAGGGCTGGTATACAGCCATGTGCCACATAATGACGTTGTAGTCAATGATGGGCAGCATATACCACAGAGGTCCCATAAGATTATAATGGAGCTGAAAAATTCCTGCCACCTAGTGGCCTTGCAATAAAGATAAGATTCTAGCACAATACATTCTTCATCTGTTTATTGTTGTTGTTTTTGTTTTTGTTTTGATGCTGGTGTAAACAAACCCACTGCACTGCCAATCATATAAAAGTACAACACATGCAATGAAGTGTAGTACCTAATACTTGATAATGATAAGTGACTATGTTACTGATTACTATACATTTTGTTATTAGATTTTACTCTAATTATAAAAAAAATTAACAGTCAACAGCCTTACGCAAGTCTTGCAGGAGGCGTTCTAGAAGAAGGCATTGTCATCATAGGAGGTGACAGCTCCATGTGCTATTGCCCCTGAAGACCTTCCAGTGGGACAAGATGTGGAGGTGGAAGACAGTGACATTAGTAATCCTCACCCTGTGTAGGCTGAGGTCAATATGTGTGTTTGTGTCTTGATATTTAACAAAATATTTAAAAAGTTTTAAAAAAAATTAAACAGTAGAAACTTACAGAATATATACAAAAAATATTTCTGTGCAGCTATAGTGTTTGTTTTAGACTGTTATAACAAAAAGTTTTAAAAAAAAGTCTGTAAAGAGTTACAGTAAGCTGGCCGGGCTCAGTGGCTCACACCTGTAATCCCAGCACCTTGGGAGGCTGAGGTGGGTGGATCACCTGAGGTCAGGAGTTTGAGACCGCCCTGGCCAACACGGTGAAACCCCTTCTCTACCAAAAATACAAAAATTAGCCAGACGTGGTGGCAGGTGCCTGTAACCCCAGCTACTCAGGAGACTGAGGCAGGAGAATCACTTAAACCCGGGAGGTGGAGTTTGCAGTGAGCTGAGTGCCACAGCACTCCAGCCTGGGTGACAGAGTGAGACTCTGTCCCCCACCCCAAAAAGAGAGTTACAGTAAGCTGTTTATTATTGAAGAAAGAAAAGTGTTTTTATAAATTTAGGGTGGCCTAAGTAGATAGTGTTAATGAAGTCTGTAGTAGTGTACGGTCACGTCCTAGAAATTAACATCCACTGACACACAGGGCAATTTACAGTCCCGCAAGCTCCATTCATGGTAAGTCCTATGCAGGTGTACCCTTTTTAATCTTGTATACCATATTTTTACTGTACTTTTTCTATATTTAGATATGCTTAGATACACAAATAGCATTGTGTTACAACTCCCTACAGCATTCAGTATAGTAACATACTGTGCATCTTTTAACCTAGGAGAAATAGGCCAGATCTATCTCCCTATCCCTGTATCCCTCTAACCAACTAACCACTTACCCACCCAATCATTCATCCATTCCTCAATCCAACCATTCATGTATCCATCTACCTATCCAACCATGTGATCATCCAATCACCAATCCCCTAACCCAACTACTGATCCATCCATCCATCCAAATACCATAGAGCCTAGGTGTGCAGGAAACTACAGCATCTGAGTTTATATAGATGTACTCTATGATGTTCCCACAATGACAAAATCACCTAACGGTGCACTTGTCAGAAGGTAACCCTATCATTAAGTGATGTGTATTGGACACATCACTGTATCGGACAACAGCAATTTTAAAACCTGTGAATCAAAAGACACCATTAAGAAAGCAAAATAAGCCATTTGCCTCCTTCTCCGTCATCCTATTCAATGTGTGACACTAAAAGAGTCAGTACAACACAGCAACTTCCAGTGGCTTGTGGTACATCTATCTCCCTATCTACACATCTCTCTAACCAACCACTTACCCACCCAATCATTCATCCATTCATTAATTCAGCCATTCATCTATCCATCTACCTATCCAACCATGTGATCGTCTCCTCACCAACCCAACCCAACTGTTCCTTCAACCATCTGTCCATCCGTCCATTCAACCATCCATCTATCTATCCATCCACCCATTGACCTATCCATATCTATTTGTCTATCCATATGTTCTTCCATCTTTCCGTTCATGTGTAACTATGTATATAAACACACACGTGCACGTACACACATACACAGTTGAAAAGCAAACAATATAGCCACAAAAAGTGCATGACTTTTCGCCTTCAATTCCTTGATTAATGTTCGTAGGTCACTAAGTGGGTGTGACCTTCTGCAAGTCTGTAGAACGTAGCTATTAATAATAATACCACATGACGTAGCTGTGATGTGAAGTACAAGCACCCTGCACCCTGAAGTGTTATCTAGAAGTCAGTGCATTTTCTTCTCATGATGTCTTTCGAAAGGGTGGAAGATCTTTAGATCTGTGACTTAATTCAGTTTACTTTTCCCTCTGTCCATACTTGTCACAAAACAAATTTTGACCTTTTGTCACCAATGAGTTTTTTTCATAGACATGAATTATCTAGAATTATAACCATCTTGTGATCTAATTTAAAGACAAGAAATTCCTGGCCACACTTTTAAATGTGGAAACATATACTTCTCTGTCCTCAGGAGACATGGGGGCCAAATATAAGCCAGGTTCAGAGAATTATGTCCGGATAATTTGCTCCCCCTAAGCAAGGATTGTTTTGTATCTGGTCACTTTATAAGGAGTTTGACATGTTGTCCTACAGACACAGTTTTATGAAATTTGAGAATGGCATTGGAGTAGCTGTTCTCTCCATGTTGTCTTACAGATACAGTTGTATGCAATTTGAAAATGGCTTGGGGTAGCTGTTCTCTTCCCCTGCCTGGTCCTGGACATTCACGTGATGAAGAATACTATTGTGTGCCAATCTAAGTAGCAGGTTCTAAGCACATTTCAATGATGTTATCATATTCTTCCCTTCTCAGATAATAATTTGAATTTTTCTAAACTCCTCGAGCTTGGTAAATATTACTTTAGAAGTTCTATAAAAAGAAAAAAAATAGCAAAATGGATTACCATTAAAACTTGCTTAATATTCGTATCACAGGATTTCGAGCACATTGTCTGATACTTAGTACTAGTCATAGTATGCTGACAAAGGCAGTCATAAAAGGGACAGCATGTTCTATTTTACTGAAAACAGTTTGTGGAGTTACACTTCTGCAAGATTATAAAGTAACAGGAAACTCAAAAAGACACTGCTTTTGAAGATGTGTTACCACAAGCTAGCGTACTGCAAAGTTCCCCTGGAACATTTTAATTCTTCTCTTAGATCCAGAAAATGGAAAGGTGTTTCAGATAAAACACTTCTCAAGATATTGGTGGAAAATGGGAATATCGGGTTTAATAACCCTGGAGCCAAGATTTTAAAAAATAAGAGGTAGTGCAAGAAAGCAATAATCTCAAATTGTTACTGTTATTCTACCCTTATCTTTTCATCTTCAGACCGGCACTTTTACATGGGTAACAAACCCTAGCTTACTTACAACCGCACTCATTAATTCCCTTCAGCCTAATTCTATGTTCCCTCTGTGTGGGGAGACAATTTTTCATGGGTCTCCTGTATCTCTGTGTAGTCTTGCGATGTATGGAAGTGACTTCTCCTTGTTCCAGACTACTGTTTCAGGAATGCTTGTATAGCCAACATCTTCAGAAGGCAGATTGTCTCTCTATAAAGCAAAGGGCAGGCAGGCTTACTGCCCATTATTAAAGATTTGGTTTCCCAACCTCAGGGTTCCATTACACATGCAAGTGACATCTGGACTTCCTGTGTCATCCCGAGGGAATCAGGACTCAGGGAACTTGCACAAAAATGATGATGCTCTGACTACTGCTCATGCCATGAGTACTAACCTGTCCTTCACTGTTGATTCCAGAGGCTCATGGCTTCTATCAGAACCTGGGAAACTATAGAAAGCTAATTTGTTAGTTTGCAAGCAGGGTAAAACCTCAGACCCTTAACAGTTCTTCACACAACACAAACTCCAAAATCATCCAGGTTTGAAAGCTTAGAGTTAAAAGCCTCATACCAATTAATTGACAAGTATTGATTATATTAAAGTCAAGTATTGATAATGGCATTGGAAATCTTACTAGTTATAAGTGCATTACATATCTATATTACATGCATGTATGTATACATGCATATGTAGCCTTCATTATTATGTATTGTCTCTCTACATACAGAATATTTGAGGTGCAGAGAAAGCAAATAACTTTCCCCAATTTACCCAACTAGTACCTAGTGGACCTGAGATTCCAGCCCCCTATGCTTGTCGTCTCCACCTGAGCCCTTACCCACCCTGCTATATATGTCTGTAACTGATTTTCTTCTTTTTCCGCTTCATTCTTTGGACACTATCATTTCTAGGCATCTAGAGAACCAAATATCTCATGGTCTAACTTCATAGTCCCATAGTGAACTAACTTCATAGTGCCTATTGTAAAATAGGCACACAATTTACTGATGTAATATACTAAATTAGTAATATAAGCATTCTGAGCTAATCACTCTAAAGATTCCTCTGTTCCCTAAAAAAGCCAAAATGGTAGCCAGGAGAAGAGATTCATTGTAGCTTGAAGGATCTAGGAAAGATGTCTAGAGAATAAAGCACAAATTTGAGTAAATTAGTGCCACTGAATATTCACAGTGGTATTTGGTTTTCTGTTCCTGTTTTAGTTTGCTAAGGATAATGGCCCCCAGCTCCATCCATGTATCTGCAAAGGACATGATCTCATTCATTTTTATAGCTGCATAGTATTCCATGGTATATATGTACCACATTTCCTTTATCCAGTCTATCATTAATGGGCGTTTAGACTGCACACCTACAACCATCTAATCTTTAACAAACCTGACAAAACAAGCAATGGGGAAAGAATTCCCTGTGTAATAAATGCTGGGAGAACTGGCTAGCAATATGTAAAAAAAGTCAAACTGGGCCCCATTCTTACACCATATATCAATATAAAAATCAACTCAACATGGATTAAAGACTTAAACGTAAAACCAAAACTATTAAAATCCTAGAAGAGAACCTAGGCAATACCATTCAGGACACAGGCAAAGGTAAGTGTTTCATAATGAAGATGCCAAAAGCAATTGCAACAAAAGCAAATTTTGACAAATGGGATCTAATTAAACTAAAAAGCTTCTGCACAACAAAAGATACTCTCTACAGAGTAAACAGACGGCCTACAGAATCAGAATAATATAATTTTATATCTTTCTTGCAAAACATATCTCATTGAGAATGCTGTTATACAAGATTATTGACTATTCATGACATCCTGCTTTAATTCAAAGGTCAGTGGGCTTCTCCATTAGAAATTCTATTTTCTTACTTCAAAATTAGACTTGGAAATATAAGATTACATTCCAATTTCATAAATGGAATATATTTATATATAAATTTTTAAGCTGCATTTTGAATGATTTTACAAAATAATTCTAATATAGGGGTGCCATATTTGGCAAATAAACATATAGACTATACAGTTAAATTAGAATTTCAAATAAACAGTATTTTTGTTAGGATAAATAATATGTCCCATGTGAAATTTGCACATACTTATACTGAAAAAGTTATCCATTTTCTATCTGAAACTTATATTCAACTGGTGGTTCTATATTTTACCTGAAAACACTGTGTTACTATAAAATTACAGAAAGTGGTGAGTTTAAAAGTCACAGAAGTTCAGACTGATATCAGCTTATCTTTTAGTATAGAAATAGATGTAGATGTAGAGATAGAGGTACTCTTACAGATATATGAATTCCTCATTATCTCATACAATTATAACATTCCCACATATCCTTTCTTTTTGATTAATAAAAAAGAATAGCGATGCTGAAATTTTATGCAGTTTAAACCATGACCACATTTTCTTGACCTGTAGTTATTATGTATTCTGGGAAGCTGTGCCATAGTACTCTATTTATCATAAAGTTTGTTTTATGTGAATATTCACACTGAATAGTGTCCCTGAATAATTTCAGAGCAATTTCTTCATAATAAATTATCCTTTTATACAGCCTGAACTTATATATCTCTTTTTGGACCAAGTAGTATAACCAAGTGCTTAATAAAATAACCCATGTATTTTCAGCAATTAGATTTTAATTTGATGATAAAAAGATTATGCTTTACTTAAGTCCCTAATCACAAAGTGCACAGAACAGCTTATCAGCTTTAAGCCCTGCAGACATCTCTGAACTCAGGAGGCATATAAAGGCCCCTGGACTAGATTGAGTTCCTTCCCTTCCTAGTTTTAAGTACATGTTTGAAGTCAAAGATTAGGTCACTAAAGACATGCAGTAAGAGATTCCACAAGAACTGATCCAGTGAAGTACCAGAATTGGATAAAATTTACATGATTTACAGTGAGTAAACAGAAAAACAAAGGCCTAAGATTTTAAAACAAAAGAAAAAAGGGAAGGAGAACACAATACAAAAGGAGAACACACGATTCACTTCAGAAAGACATTTCTGAAGTATCTACTTTCATAATCCCAATTGAAAGCATATCTTCCAAAAAAAACTATATGAAATCTTGGATTATAAGGCTATAGACAGATATGAAAATATATGGCCGAGGCAAAAAGAAATCTACGGAGACTCAGATTAAATATGGAATAGTTTGTATTTAATAGAATCAAAAGTTTAATTACAGAAATATATACTAGAATCAATTGAACAGAACCAATACTGTAGAAAATTCAATCAATAGAGCAGATAAAAAGCTTAAGAAACCACCGCATGTTCATGAATAAGAAAGACAAAGAGTTAAACATAATCTGAGAGAAGATATAAAATAGGTATAATTAACATGAAATTGCATGTAATTTGTGTTCCTTGAAAAGACACAGAGTGACAAAAAAGCAACATTAAATTCATAATATGAAAAGAGAAATTCTGGGATGGAAGGTCTGAATCTGCTAGAGAAAGAGCATTCTGAAGCAGCAAAATTTCCTTGAAAAAAAATCAAACATGTAGACCCCATCTGATGAAAGTTTTACACTTGAAGTAAAGGAAATAATCTTGAAGTATTAAAGTGGAAAAATTAGATCAATGACACAGAAAGAAAAATTCTGTTGAATGCAGATTTCTTCTTCCTAACATCAGAATTTTTCAGTTAAAAATATAAAAGCATATGACTTAAAATTCTATATTCAGTAATTTATTCAACAAGCATTATTAAAGACCACTCTTGTACCAAACACTGGACTAGGGGTGCTATACTTTTAGGTCTTCATTCATGTTTGGAGACAACAGAAGGGTGTATCAGTCTGTTTTCATGCTGCTAATAAAGATATACCTGAGACTGGGTCATTTATAAAGAATAAGAGGTTTAATGGACTCACAGTTACACATGGCTGTGGAGATCTGACAATCATGGTAGAAGGCAAAGGAGAAGCAAAGTCACATTTTACATAGTGGTAAGGAAGAGAGAGCTTGTGCAGGGAAACTCCTTTTTATAAACCATCACATCTCATGAGACTTATTCACTATCATGAGAAGAGCATGGGAAAGACCTACCCCCATTATTCAATTACCTTCCACCAGGGTCTCTCCCATGACAAGTGGGAATTGTGGGAACTACAATTCAAGATGAGATTTGGGTGGGGACACAGCCAAAGCATATCAAAAGGCTTAGCAAGTAGACCTCCTACAGCCCTTTATGGGGGAGTATCCACAGAATTCTCCCAGATAAATCACATTGAGGAACTCCAAAGAAGAGAATCTGCAAAAGTAATATAACTAGAAAATAATCAACCAGACATGTATCTGCTACACTGAGTCCTCTGGGTGGAGATTGTGGCCTTAGGGAGCTGACCTCCTTTACCATGGCTAATAGGAAAAGCTAGATGCATTAGTCCGGGATACTTTCCTAAGGCTGGAAATAGGAACGTGCTGAAGAGAAATGATTCTGTTTTCCTTAAATGGCAGGAGGCCCTTTGCTAAGGAGTGGAAGGCAGATACATTGGTGCTGTATTGGATCCTGCCACAGGGTTCCAGAAAACAAAACTGGGCTCTCTGCTCCCAGAGGGTAGCACTCTTCTCCTAGATTATCCAATGTCCAGGGTCCCAAGGAGGGGCCCTGGCCTCCTGGAGCATAGTTTCCTTTTGTATTTTCCTGACATGTTTCCTCTTTCTCCCCTTTCCCAGCCCCATCCTCCAAAAACTTCCCATGGATCAAGTGGCATTGCGTGCCTCACAGTAAGAACGTGCTGCTGTACGACTCACTCTAGAGGGAGCTTTGCAGGTTCACTCTACAGAGAGCCCCTCTGCAGATGCTAGACACAGCCCCACCTGCCTGTCATAGCCTCAAACCACAGATACCACCTGCAATGGCACTGGCTAAGTTTTGCCATTGGGCCGAAGGATAAAAGGACTGATGAGTAGCACACAATGCCATTTAAACTATTTTTATCTGAGTAATTCTTATAGTACGGTTATAAACCAGAATGCAAACATAATTTTATATGTTGACATATAAGATTTCTAATCTAAAATAAAAAATATTCATCTAACTTTTCAGATGAGTAACAGCCAGTACTGGTTTAAAATTAATCAGTGTAAAAATTGCCCTGAATTTCATGTGGGTGTCAATAGAGTTTATTTCTGATATTGATTATTACAAAAAAATTGCCTTGGATTTTTTTTAAATAGGTAAACTTTAGATAATGTAAAAACAGTGTATTACAATTCGCAGTTGCAAAAATGTGGAAGCAACCTAAATGCCCATCAAGCAATGAGTGGATAAACAAAATGTATATATACACCATGAAATACTACTCAGCCATAAAATGGTATGAAATAATGGCCTTTGCAGCAACTTGGTTGGAGCTGGAGGCCATTATTCTTATCAGAGTAACTCAGGAATGAAAAACCAAACACTCTATGTTCTCTCTTATACAAGACAGCTATGAGGATACAAAGGCATAAGAAGGATATAATGAACTTTGGAGGCTCGGGGAAGGGTGGGAGGTGGGTGAAGGATAAAATACTACCTACTTTATGTAGAGTGTACAGTGTACATGGCTCAGGTGACAGGTTCACCAAAATCTCAGAAATCACTGCTAAAGAAGTTATCCACATAACCCAAAACCACCTGTGGGGTTCTGTATTCCCCAAAATGATTGAAAATAAAAATAATTAAGTAACAACACTGTATTCATCTGCTAGGGCTTCCATAACAAAATACTACAGACTGGATGGCTTAAACCACAGAAATGTACTTTCTCACAGTTCTGAAGGCTGGAAGTACAAGATTGGAGTGCTGACTGGTTTGGTTTCTGATGAACGCGCTCATTTGCTTTCCAGATGGCTGCTTTCTTGCCTTCTTGATATGTCATCATGACCTCTTTTGGAGCATCTGAGGGAGCTAAGACGGGAGGGAGGTAAAGCGGGAGAGGAGCAGGGAAGTGGGTGGAAAGGGATATGGAGGTGGAGAGAGAGCATGCAAACAAGAGCTCCAGCTTCTCTTCCTACAAGGACACTAATCCCATCAGACCAGAGCTCCATATTTACGATCTGGTTGAATCTTAATGACTTCTTTATTCCAAATGCAGTCACACTGGGGTTAGGGCTTCAGGATATGAATTCTGGAGTGACCCGAACTGTCAGTCCATAACAAACAGCATATATTATTTCTATATTGCAGATAGAGGAAAGGAGTGGTGAGGAAGCTCATTCATGATAAAAGGAATAAGGAAAGACTAAGAAGGCATTAAAAGATGACAGAAGAGAGAGACTGTCAGTTAAGACTGAGGGAAAAAATGGGAAAAGCTTCTCTTTCAAAGGCAAGAGTCTCAGATTGGATTATTTAATTTCCAAAATAAGCTAGCAACACCATGAAAACAAAGCAATCGACAAACGTTAAAATTAAATATTCATAAGCTATGTCAAGCAATAACCAAAAGGCAAGGATTACAGTATAAAAAATAATGATGTAGAATTCAAAGTTAAAGACATTCATAATAGTTCATTATGAATATATAACAGAAAAACATCCCTTCAAAAATGCATATCATAGAAATATACAACGCAAAAACTGATTTTTAAAAAAGAGAGAAATCGATAGGCATGAAAGGGAACCTTGTGCACTCTCACTCAGTTGCATTTTAAACAAGAAAAATATAGAAAATTTATTAAAATGCATTCAGCATAGGTTATCTACCACATGAACAGAATGATATAATTTTTACTTGCAGCGTTCAAGAGAAACAAATGAAAATGTGTTTGAATTAATAAGAGAGCTCAGTAGGATATATGGATTACAAAATATACAAAAATCAGATGCTTCCCTTTATACCAGAGATAATCATTAGGAAAACACGATGATAAATATCCTTTTCCCAAAAACTACTAAAAAATGTTGACAAGAAAATAAACTTTAAAGTAGATGTGCATAACTACATGAAGAAAACTACAGATCCATATAGAATGTCCTAAGAAATGGCTTAAATGGAAAATTCTTAAACAGCAAGAAATATGACAAAACTGTCAATTTACCCAAATTATAAATTATATGTCATTCTTTTATGGAATTTCCTTAGTTTCCTAGACCTGCTATAAGGAAGTGCCATAGGTTGCGAGGCTTCAACGGCCGACTATTTTCTCACAGTTCTGAGGGCTGGATGTCCAAGACCAAGATGTCGGCAGGGTTGGTTCCTCCTGAGATCTCTTTGACTTGCAGGCAGCCACCTTCTTCCTGCATCTTCATGTGGTGTTTCTTCTGTGCTCTTGCACATCTGGTGTCTCTTTTTTGTGTGTCCTCATTTTTTTTTCAACAAGGATACAACTCCAGTTGGGTTAGGGCCCACCCTCAAAGCCTCATTTTAACTTAATCTCCTCTCTTTAAAAGCCCCATCTCCAAATTGTCACATTCTGAGGTTAGGATTTCAACACATGAATTTTGCAGGGGAGAACAGATGACAAAAATCAGCCCATAACAAGAATGTAGCAGGGAGTTAGTAAAAAATTACCAATTGTGTTTTGTCGCCTGCCTTCTTCACAGCTGATTTGGATTCTGCTTCAGTGAGTTAAGGGCAGAAGTGATGTGCTCCATTTCAGGCCTGGCCATAAAACAAACTTTTTTTTGTTTTGTTTTGTTTTGTTTTTGCTTTGAGACAGAGTCTCACTTTGTTGCCCAGGCTGGAGTGCAGCAGCGGCGCAATCTCAGCTCACTGCAACCTCTGCCTGCTGGGTTCAAGCGATCCTCCTGCTGACTAGCTGGGATTACAGGCACGGATAGACCACCACACCCAGCTAGTTTTTGTATTTTTAATACAGACAGGGCTTTACCACATTGGCCAGGCTGGTCACAAACTCCTGAGCTCAAGTGATCTTCCAGCCTCAGCCTCCTAAAGTGCTGGGATTACAGGCGTGAGCCATGGTACTCGGCCCATAAAACACACTCTCAACCATCCCAGTTCTTCCTGCTTTCAAAGAGACTTTGAAGAACTTATATTTACATGGCAGCACATAAAAAAAAAAAAGGTGCCTGGATTTCTGAGTTACCCTAGAAGGCCACACACACACACTTGCATTAGGTTGTAATAGAAGTAAGAAACAACTAAAACAACTATTTTTGTTTGGTCATTAATTTTTTCTTTTGTACTGCAGCAAGCATACATTAGACTAATAGAAAATACACGGAATACACACAATACCACATGTTCTTAAACATTCCCCATTCAAGAATTTAAAAACTCTTCATAATTATTAATTATACCTTCCATTAAGCATTTACATATTTCATTAAAGACAGATGGTCATCTAATAGTAGTGGAAATATTAAACTCAATCCACATCATTTTCTTGTGGGAAAACCTACTTTACTTCATAATCAAAGTTATCACAGAAGAAATAGCCCCTTTGAGGAACTTTGAATATGGTATGCTCTACAGAATCTCCAAAGATGAAAGGACAAGGCCCTATAGAGGGAGGAAAGCCCTTGAATAAGGCCCAAGGAAGGAAGTAATATCAAAATAAATTAGTGCCTAAGATGCAGCAGCTACATGTCCACAAACATGAAGTTCTATTCACAAGGAAATCATGACCAGGTACAAAATCATCACCTTCTAAAACTCTAGGCCACCATAGTTAGGGAAGATGTTTAATAGTGTTACAATGGACAGATGTAAGAGTTGATTATTCTGCCAACTTCTGCTGTAATCCAACCCAAAATGATCCTCCAGCTGAGAGGCTAGGGGCTTTAAACCTTTATCACTACTTTCAAATGCAGACATCAAAGGGCAGAGTCATCAGAGCAGATACAGTCACGTAGCAAAGCCATTGTACCTCCCTCATCTGGAAGCTCTCTCCCAAAAATAACTGTGAGAGAATTTACAGTGCCCATTGATGAGAGGCACTTCTTATAATTAGTTTTGATGACAATTTTAATTGAAGTTTAGCCCTTGAATACATGCATACAGAAAGAATGGGACATCTTTGAAAGAAGTGATGAAACTCTTATAAAGAGCCCAAGACCCTTACAAAACAGATTGGAACAAGGAAACAACAGTGCAGTAGGCAAAGAAAGAGCCAAAAATATGAATTAAAAAATGAAAATGAAACTTTGAATATGATGTACTCTATAGAATCTTGCTAAAAATAGGAAGTATTTTAGGACAGCTAAAAATTTTTATGATTGCATTAAGAAGGCTGTAATAGGCCAGGCTCAGTGTTTCATGCCTGTAATCCCAGCACTTTGGGAGGCTGAGGTGGGCAGATCACCTAAGGTCAGGAGTTTGAGACCAGCCTCGCCAACATAGTGAAACCCTGTCTCTGCTAAAAATTAGCCAGGTGTGGTGGCAGGCCCCTGTAATCCCAGCTACTTGGGAGGCTGAGGCAGGACAATTGCTTGAACCTGGGAGGCAGATGTTGTAGTGAGCTGAGATCGTGCCACTGTACTCCACCTCAGGTGACAGCGCAAGACTCCACCTCAAAAACAAAAACAGCCTGTGCATATTCCAGGAGGCAGACGAGTTTGGCATGGCTGAAGAATCAGCAGGCAGAGCCCTCAGGCCATGGGTAGAGAGGAGGCTTGACAGCTGAGGCAAGGCTCTGATGTTTGCTGTGATAAGGGCTGTCATTCTGAATGTCCCCAGGTCAAACCATGGCCTCGTGCTGAAAACTTATGTAGAGGAAACTGAAATGAAGAGTAATTAGGAAAAGTATCAAAACAATCATGTGTCTGCACTCTCGGAAAAAAGCTGAAAGTGCAACACAGCATTGACCCTGTGAAAACAAGTACAAGTTAAAAGTTGCTGGAATCCCTAAAACACGTTAAGCCTTGGGAGAAATGTGACTGTGCTCTGAGTCGTGTAGCACATCATCGTAACTCCTGCTTCTTAGATTACAGCAGAACTCATCCTCATCGTTCTTATTCTGTCCCGAGTACGTGGTACCACAGGGGTACACCAGCACGCCCAGCTAATTTTTGCATTTTTTTGTAGAGACGGGGTCTCATCATGTTGCCTAGACTCAAACTTGGCCTCAAGTGATCCTCCCACCTCAGTCTCCCAAAGTGCTGGTATTACAGTCATGCCCCACCACATCCAATCTCGAATCATGTTTTTAAAAGGGAATCCATATAAACAGGTATATTAGTCTGTTCTCACACTGCTATAAAGGACTGCCAGAGACTGGGTACTTTATAAAGAAAAGAGGCTTAATTGACTTACAGTTCCCCATGGCCAGGGTAGCCTCAGGAAACTTACAATCACAGCAGAAGAGCAATTAAACACATCCTTCTTCACATGATGGCAGGAAGGAGAAGTGTCAAGCAAAACGGGGAAAAGCCCCTTATGAAACCCCCAGATCTCCTTAGAACTCACTATCACAAGAATAGCATGGGGGAAATAGCCCTATGATTAAATTACCTCCCACCAGGTCCCTCCCACAACATGTGGGGATTATGGGAACTACAATTCAAGATGAGATTTGGGTGGGGACACAGCCAAACCACATCAACAGGTGAGAGGGAACTGCCAAATTCTTAAAAAGAAAAGTTGTAAGGATGAACTACACTGTATTTGTAAGCTTTGCCTCAAATGATATCTTCCCCATCCGTGTTCCCTGCTAAGATACGCCCTTCCTGTGACATAGCAAGGAGCCAGGCAATGGCTGGACAGATACCTCTGTCAAGTGGGACTGGCCAGGGCGCCCCAGGACCACTCATGTTCATGGGCCAAAGCAAGTCATGTTGCTAATTCCAGTCAATGAGAGCAGAAAATTATGTGCCCCTTAAATGAAAAGGAGATGTGAAAACAATGAAACCTATCTCAATTATCACACAATCTATAAAATCTATACAATGCAGGTAATAAAACCTGTTGCTTACCAGACAGTAAAGCAGTGCCTAAAGTAAACAATGTGACACTGAAAATCAATAGACAGATCAATGAAACATGGTAGAAAAATGCAAAAATAAGTGCATGTACATAGAGAATCTTAGTAAATAATAAAGATGACATTTTGAAAACACTGGAGAAAATTGTAATATGATGTTAGGATAACCAGACAGACATGTTGGAAAAAATGAGTATCGATTGCACTACTGACATCTAAGAAATACCTGCTGGGACAAATCTTTAAACTTGGGAAATGAGATTAAAAATATTAAAAGGGAGGAACAATTTTTTAAATAATCAAGAAGCAAGCAAGAAGTCATAAGCAAGATGACATTTCTGAGTGGCATAAAATCCAAATGTTATAAAAGTGAACACTAACAAATTTGACTACAAAAATAAATACATAATTTCTTCATAGCTAAAAAAAAAGAACTCAAGGTGAAAAGAAACAAATTGGGAGAAGTATTTGCAATATTGCCATATTGGAAATGTTAGTCTTTTTAGTATATAAAGATCTAAGAATTAATAAGAAATAATTCAAACAAGACAAAAAATTAAGTTGAATGGACATTTTACAGAGAAGGAAATATGAATTGTTCTCAAAAGAATTCTCAACAGTAATGCACAGTAATGATTTCAATGAGGCATGTTTCTTCTTTCAGACTGAGGAATCTCAAATTTCTGACAACATTTTGTATTGATAGAAGTGTGAGTTCTTAAAGTGTAATAATAATAAATAAAATTTAAAAAAAGGAAGTGTGAGGTAATCAGTACTCTCATATATTGCTGGAGGGAGTGTAAGTTCAATCTCTGTAGAGTTTTGGGCATTATCTACCAACATTTAAAATTCAAAATGTTCTTTCACTAAAAATTCTACTTTCAGGTATAGTTTATAGATATACTTACACATATATAAAAAATGCATGCACAAAGATAGAAACTGTATTCCCTCTGCCATCATTTGAACTCAAGGAACAGAATTAGATTCTAGTTCTTGTTCACAGCATGCTTTTACCATCCATAAATGGCCCTTTTATTTAATTTGCTCTCCCTCATAATGTAGTATTTTCCACTGCAGCACCTAAAATAAATGCTACAACAATGAAGATAACATATTCCAGCTACTTTCCATCTTCTCTCCTTCCCTCACCCAGTTTAACCACCATCTTGAAACCACATCCATAATATTCTGTTTTATGGAGGTTAATTGCATCTATATATATAGTACCAAAAAGTACATGTATTAAACTTGGTTATTACTTTTTTTAAAAATCTGTGTTGAATCTTACAGAATTTACTTTTCATTTAATATTTATAGCCAAAACCATCTACATTGCTTGTACCACCTGTAGTTCAATCGTTTGAGGTACCATTGTGAAATCTGTCACTTTATTCCTGCATTCTTCCATGGATGGGCAGCTGGGTTGTTTCTTGGTCTTTACTTTTGTGAACAGCATTCACTTGTGTGAATATTTTCATTCATGTCTCCTGCTGAACATGTACATGACTTTTTTTTTGGATACATCCAGGACCGCAATTGCTTGGAACCAACATAAATGTCCAACAACGATAGACTGGATTAAGAAAATGTGTCACATACACACCATGGAATACTATGCAGCCATAAAAATTGATGAGTTCATGTCCTTTTTAGGGACATGGATGAAACTGGAAACCATCATTCTCAGCAAACTATCGCAAGGACAAAGAGCCAAACAGCACATGTTCTCACTCATAGGTGGGAATTGAACAACGAGAACACATGCACACAGGAAGGGGAACATCACACTCTGGGGACTGTTGTGGGATGGGGGGATGGGGGAGGGATAGCATTAGGAGATATACCTAGTGTTAAATGACGAGTTAATGGGTGCAGCACACCAACATGGCACATGTATACATATGTAACAAACCTGCACGTTGTGCACATGTACCCTAAAACTTAAAGTATAATAATAATAAAATTAAAAAAAAGATAAATATTAAGGTTTAAGACACAGCCAATCTGCTTTCCAAAGATGCGCCATTTGAGATCATCACCAGAAATGTCTAAGAGATTCTGTGGGTCTGTGTCTACTAAAAACTTGATAGTATCCGATATGGTTTGGCTGTGTCCCCACCCAGGATCTCATCTTGAATTGTAGTTCCGATATTCCCCACCTGTCATGAAAGGGACCAGGTGGGAGGTAACTGAATCATGGGGGCAGTTACCTCCATGCTGTTCTCGTGATAGTGAGTTCTCATGAGATATGGTTTTATAAGTGGCTTTTCCCCTTTTGCTTGGCACTACTTCCTGCTGCCAAGTGAAGGAAGACATACTTGCTTCCCCTTCCGCCATGACTGTAAGATTCCTGAGGCCTCATCAGCTATGGTGAACTGTGAGCCAATGAAGTCTCTTTCCTTTACATATTATCCAGTTTCAGGTATGTCTGTATCAGCAGTGTGAGAACAGACTAATACAGTGTCAAATTTTTAATTGTTGCAAATCCAAAGCATGTAAAACTGTCTCACTGAGGTGTCCAACAGTATTTTTCTCCTCACTAATGATGTGAACAATCTCATTTTATGTTCTATTGGCAAAGTATGTTTCCTGTTCTATTAAATGCCTGCTTACTTTTGGAAACTATTTTCCAATGAGTTACTTTTCTCATTGTTTTATGAATGTTCTAAGTATATATTTTGTAAACATTCCACGTACACACTTGATACTAAGTTGTGTGTGAAAGTCTAATGAATTGTTTCACTTCCTTTCATATATATGTTGGTATACAAGGGATCTAAATTTTTTTTTTTTTTTTTTGCGATGGAGTCTTGCTCTTGTCACCCAGGCTGGAGTACAGTGGTGCGATCTTGGCTTACTGGAAGCTCCGCCTCCTGGGTTCACACCATTCTTCTGCCTCAGCCTCCCAAGTAGCTGAGACTACAGGCACTCACCACCATGCCCAAATAATGTTGTGTATTTTTAGTACAGATGGGGTTTCACCATCTTAGCTAGGATGGTCTCCATCTCCTGACCTCGTGATCCACGGGATCTAAATTTTAATAGTCATATTTATTTTTTCATTTGTAAACAAAGCTTTTTGCATGCTATTTAAGACAACTTTCCTTCTCAAAGGTACAAGATAGTTATGATTTTAAAAAGTAGTTATATTTTGTGTTTCATGTAATTCTTTAATGCTGCTGCAGTTAAGTGGAGTATATTGTATGAGATGATGGTCCATTTTCTTCATAATGATAGCTGTTTTTCTAGTTCCATATATCCTGCCATCTCTTCTGTTCTGATATATTACATGCATGGGTCTTTTATGATCAACTCTGTTCCATTGATCAGTTGCATAACCCTGAGCCAACATCACACTTTCATAATTAATTTTATAATAAAGTCTATTAGGGCAAGTTTCTTTCTTTTCTGCTTTTTTTCTTCAGAAATGCCCTACCCATTCTTGGCCATTTCTTTTTCCTATAAGTTTAGAATTACATCACTCAGTTCCATGACAAAAAAATCTCAAAGATTTTGATGGGATTTGTATTGCCTTCATACATCAACTTGGGAAGAACTGGAATTTTTATAACACTCGGGCTTATTACAGGGTCATGGGACGAAGAGTATCAACTATCTGTAAAGAATTACTACAAATCAATTCGTATATATTACTTTAGATCTCTTTATAACGTTTTACTGCTTTCATTGCAGAGGTCTTACATATCAACTGTTTAGTTTTATTTCCATATACATAATATCCTTTCATGTTATAAACAGTTTCTCCTTGATTTGATAATCTAAATGTCTGCTGCACTTATAACAAATTTTCCATTGGTTTTGTGGGATTTCTCTATACAAATAACCAGAAAGGGGAATCTGTGAGGAGTGGCTGTAATGTTGTGAGAGGAAATTTCTTCAGAGAAGAAATTCCTCGGGAGGAACTCAGATGTTGGCCTTCACCAGGTGACACTCCCCGAAGCTGGGGGTATGGTAAGTACCTTCGTCCCAAAAGTGGGTGGGGACTTGGGTATCAACTACAACCTGGACAAGATAGTAGTCCAGGGTTACTATCCAGGTTACTAAATAATAAGCAATATTGCATTCCAGGAGCAATTCCAGAGATTGACACCATCAAAGACGTAAAGGATACAGGATTGGGATCCCCTCTCATATCCCCATGCAATGTGCTGCATTTCTGACTCCTGCAAAAATCAGTTGGATTGTGGTGAATGATGGTTGACAGCAAAAAACATAACCAAGTATAGTTCAGAGCTATTTGTATTTTGCCGTTACTTTCAAGGGCAAAAACTGCAATTACTTTTGTACCAACCTAATACTACTGTGCCAGATGTGGCATCACCACCAGAAGGGACCAACACATGCTCTGGTCCTCATGTGCAGCTTGAGGTAAGCACGTTCCTCTCAATAGGAAGAAACAAGCAGTCCATCTTCACATAACCGATGACATATTCTCTGTTTTGCACTCCATCTGTGCCAACTCTAGTCTTTGTTATAATTAGGTCACAGAGATCCTATTTATCGTAATACTTTTCTGAACATCTGTCTTGATTCATTTTGCATTCCTCTAAAGGAATAACTGAGGCTGGGTAATTTATAAAGAAAGGAGGTTTATTTGGCTCACAGCTCTGAAGGCTATACAATCAGCACTGCTTCTAGTGAGGCCTCAGGAAGCTTCAGTTCAGGGCAGAAATGGAAGGGGAACAAGCATGACATGGCCATGGCAAGAGGAAGGAAGGAAGAGAGACGAAGGAGGAAGGTTCCAGCTCTCTTCGATAGTCAGATCTCATGGAAACCAATAGACTGGGAACTCACTCATTACTGCCAAGACAGCACAAAGCCATTCAGGAGAGATCTGCTCCCAGGACCCAAATATCTGCCACCAGGCCCCAGCTTCAACACTGGAGATCACATTTCAACGTGGGACTTGGAGGAGACAAATATACAAATATCAATGTCACTTGGATCCAGTACCAATTAAACCATTATGCCTGGACCTAGAGTACAGTGTTGAGTACCCTCAGGCCAGAAGATGTCAGTAAGATTCAGGTACTAAATTCATTGGTAAGTTCTAAGAGTTCAGTGGCTCAGGGCATACCTGAATATCATTTCTAAGATACCAGTTGTTCCACCTCCCAAATCTTATCCTAAAAACAGAAATGGCATGTGGTAGACCTCTTTGGAGTTTTATTGTTTTTAATATACTTTACTTTTTAGATCAGTTTTAGATTTGGAGAAAAATTACACAAAATGTAAAGAGAGTTCCCGTATACCCCCTCTCTCTGACACACTATTTTCTGTTATTAGGGCCTTGTGTTAGTGTCATACATTCACTACAATTGATGAACCAATATTGGTTTTTATTAATCACTAAGCTCAAAATTAACATTAAGATTCACTTTGTATTGCGCATTCTGTGGGTTTTGGCAAATGTGGAGTAACATCCATTCACCATCACAGTATCACAGAGTAGAGTTTCACTGCCCTAAATGCTTAAAAAGGATGGACTATGTTTTTATGAAGCATTAGCCATTATTAATTACATAACCATTCTTTCATTACTGAGTGTTAATTCTTTCTGATATTATTTCAAACTAGGCTTCAGTGAACATTGTTGTACATTATGTAAACATTTTTCCAAAATAGAAGGCTTAAAATGGAATTGTACATGTGTTTTTGGTTTTGTTAGACATGAGGGTCTCGCAATGTTTCCCAGGCTAAAATCAAACTCCTGTGGCTCAAGGGGATTTTTCCACCTCAGCCTCCTGAGTAGCTGAGACTACGGGCATGTGTCACAGTGCCTGGCTATGTTTCATTTTGACAGGTACTGATATTGCCAACATTCTCTTTGGAAAATATGAACCAATCTATGCACCCAATATGAACACAGCCTGTCAACACTGGATGTTATTTTTTTGAAATGTGATACAGCAAATATGCATAGGTCAATTTGCCACAAAGTCGGTAACAATTTCATTAGATACTGTATGTATTCTGGTCCGTTTCTCTACGTATCTGTCCCTGTGTCAATACCACATTATTTAAATATTGTAAGTACATGTTTAAATTGTGATTGTTTCTCCTTTTCTCAAATTTATTTCCTATTCTTTTGGTTATTTACCAGTCTAGATCAATTGTAAAGTTAGATGGCCAGGGGTCCATTAAAAAGATCCTTCGAAATCATATTAGCATCATGTGGAACCTATGATTTGGAAAAAATTAAAATTCTGAGGATATTCTACTTGTGAACATGATATACCTATTATTTGTGTTTCTGTACATTATAATTTACATGTATTCCAGCAAATGAATGTACGTCATCATTGGACCAATGACAATGCTCTATGACCTTAGGTAACATATATATGCTCTATATCTTTATCTTCTTTGTATTAATACATTTTAGTCATCTATAACATGGATATAATACTAACATAAAACTACATTTCTAAACTATTCCTACACCTCCAGACTCATTTTTAATGTTATTTATGCCATGTTACATTTTTTTCTTAATAAATTTGAAGAAGGTTTATCCATGTTATGGGTCCCTTTCGAAGTACCAGTTTTTTGTTTTATTTATCAAGAATGCCTTTTAATTGTTTTTTTTTAAATTAACTTTTGCTTTTATCTTTGGTAGTTCCTTATCTTTACTTTCTTTAGGTTTATTAGTCTCTATCATCTTGAACACTTAGTTCTAACACAGAGCTGTCTCGTTTATAGGAGTGATTTCGTGTAATTTTTGGCTATTTGCATGCATCTTATACATACGTATAGATTTTAATGCATTCATGTAATACAACTAATCTATGTTGTATGTACCACTATTATCCCAATTTTAGCAATAACAAAACAGATACTGTAACTTATCCAAGGTCACACAGTAAAATAAATGTCAAGTAAATGGCAGACCTGGAATTCAAAAGCAAGTTGTTTGGTTTCAGGATCCATGTGCTCAGCCACTGCATTATTCTGCCTGTAAATACTGTCTTAGCTGCACCCTCCCCCTCAACACACAAGTTTTTATATCAAATTAGGTCATTTTTACTAATGTCTAAAAAGTTGTTCACTTTATTTTTTTCCTTTTTAATGCTAGATGTATTTAAGGGTTTTCATTTTTTTGTTATTAATTCCAAAGAGATCTGGCAGGGAGATAATATTTTATGTTTGTTTTTACCAATCTTTGTTGTAATTACTAAGTTTATTACATTGTTTTAAGTGAATATCAAATATAAAATGTTTCCCTTTTGAAATATGGACTTACCTTTCTTGCCTATTACAATATTATTCATAGCAAATAGTGTTTAAAATGACTACTCTGCTGAACAGATATCACCCTTGCTAATTGTTTCACTGACGAATTCGTATTATTGTGTTGTTTGTATGTGAATTTTTAATCAAGTATATTTTTCTTTTACTCCAATCGTGACTTTCATACTGTATTCTAATAGTATCTGGTATACAGGCATATTTCATTTTATTGCGCTTCATTTTACTGGGCTTTGAAGATGCTAGTTTTTTAAGGTTTGTGGCAACCCTGCATTACCAAGTCTATTTATTGGCACCATTTTTCCAACAGCATGTGCTTCCTTTCAGTTGCTTTATCACACCTTGGTTACTCTCACAAAATTTCAAACTTTTCCATTATCATTATATCTGTTATGGTGATCTATGATCTCTGATTTTAATGTTATTATTAGAATTGTTTGATGCACCAAAATATACACTCATATAAAACAGCAAAGTTAGTTGATAAATGTTGTGTGAGTTCTTAGACTGTTCCCCCATCTCTCTTCTTCTTAGGCTTCATTATTCCCTGAGACAAAATAATGTTAAAATGAGGCCAATTAATAGCCCTTCAAAGGTTGCTAAGTGTTTCAATGAAAGGATGAGTCACATGTTTCTCACTTTAAATCAAAAGCTAGTAATGATTAACCTTAATGAGAAAGGCATGTTGAAAGCCAAGACTAGCTGAAAGCTAGACCTCTTGAGCCAAACAGCCAAGTTGTGAATGCAAAGGAAAAGTTCTTGAAGGAAATTAAAAATGCTATTCCAGTTAAAACAATCATAAGAAAGTGAAACAGCCTCATTTCTGATAATGGAGAAAGTTTTAGTCATCTGGATAGAAGATCAAACCAGCCACAACATTCCTTTAAGTCAAAGCCTAATTCAGAGCAAGTCCCCAAACTCTCTTCAATTCTATAAAGGCTGACAGAGGTGAGGAAGCTGCAGAAGAAAAGTTTGAAGCTAGCAGAAGTTGGTTTATGAGGTTTGAAGAAAGAAGCCATCTCCACAACATAAAAAGTGCAAGGGGAAGCGGCAAGTGATGTAGATTCTCCAGCAAGTTATCCAGAAAATCTCGTTAAGATAATTGATGAAAGTGGCTACATTAAACAGATTTTCAACAGAGACAAAACAGCCTTATATTAGAATAAGATGTCAACTAGGACTTTTGCAACTAGAGAGGAGTAGTCAATGACCAGCTTCGAAGCTAAAAATTTCAGGCTAACTTTCTCGGTAAGGGTTAATGCAGCCAATGGTCATTTAGTTTCTTTCTTTTTGAAATGGAGTCTCACTCTGTTGCCTAGGCTAGAGTGCAGTGGTACAATCTCAGCTCACTGCAACCTCTGCCTTCGGGGTTCAAGCGATTCTCCTGCCTCAGCCTCCAAAGTAGCTAGGATTACAGGCATGCGCCACAATGCCCAGCTAATTTTTTTATTTTTAGTAAAGTCAAGGTTTTGCCATGTTGACCAGGCTGGTCTGAAACTCCTGGCCTCAAGTGATCTGCCCTCCTCAGCCTCCCAAAGTGCTTAGACTACAGACATGAGCCACCACGCCCGGCCCAATGGTCACTAATTATTCTGAAAATCGTAGGGCCCTTAAGAATTATGTTAAATCTATTCCGCATGTGCTCTGGAAATAAAGCCTGAACGACATCATATCTGTTTATAGCATGGTATACTAAGTATTTTAAGCCCTCTGTTGAGACCTACTGCTCAGAAAGATTTCTGTGAAAAATATTACTGCTCATTGACAATGCACCTGCTCACTCAAGCACTCTGACAGAGATGTACATGAAGATGAATGTTGTTTTTATGCCTGCTGACACAACATCCATGCTATAGCCCATGAAAGAGTAATTTCAACTTTCAAATCTTTAAGAAACAAATTTCATAAGCCTGTAGCTGCCATAGATAGTGATTCCACTGATGGACCTGGGCAAAGTAAATTAAAAACCTCCGGAAAATGATTCACCATTTTAGATGCTATTAAGACTTATCTTGATTCATAGGAAGAGGTCAAAATATCAACATGAACAGAAGTTCAAAAGAAGTTTATTCCAACCCTGTTTGATGTCTTTGAGGGGTTTCAGACCTCAGTGAAAAAAATTACCGATATGGTAGAAACAGCAAGGAAACTAGAACTAGAAGCGAAGTCTGAAGATGTGGCTGAATTGCTGCAATTTCAATATTATACTTGAGTGAATGAGGAGTTGCTTGTTATGGATAAGCAAAAAGGGTGGTTTCTGTAATAGAATCTACTCCTAGTGAAGATGATGTGAACATTGTTGAATGAAAAGAGATTTAGACTGGAATATAAACTTAGTTGATAAAACAGTAACAGGGTTTGAGAGGGTTGACTCCAATCTTGAAAGAAGTTCTACTGTAGGTAAAATGCTATCAAAACAGCACTGCATGCTACAAATAAATCTTTCATCAAAGGAAGAATCAATGTGGCAAACTTCATTGTTGTCTTAAACTGCCACAGCCACCACCTTCAGCTTACCTCAACCCTAATCAATCAGTAGCCATCAACATCAAGAGGAGGCCCTCCATCAGCAAAAAGATTATGACTCGCTGAAGGCTCCAATGTTCATTAGCATTTTTTAGCAATGAAGTATTTTTAATAAAGGTGTGCAGTGTTTTTTAGACATAATACTATTCTATACTTAACAGACTACAATGCACTATAAACATAACTTTCACGTGCATTGGGAACCTGAACATTTGAATGACTCAATCGCAGTAGTTGCTCTATTAAAGTCATCTGGAACCGAACCTGCAATATCGGATATATGCCTACATAGATTTGCTATCTACATAGTTTAATTAAAATTGATGACTCTTAGTTTTGAAGTACATTTAAGATTTTCATCATGAAATATCTTTAACCACGTTAAGGGCTTTGGGTTTTGCTTTTCATTCCTGTATTATCACTATTGTTTTCCCATTTGTTTGTATTTGTCTTAAGGAAAAAAAAATTTTTTCATTTATTTCCAAAAGTTCTCTAACATAATTTATTTTAAGTATATTTCTTACACACTGTCACTGAAATTTTTTTACTGATCCTTTTGTTTTACTGTGGAATTTAATTCACGTATATTATTTTGGTTACAAATATAAACTTGTTTCTTTCCTTAACTTCCATTTTCCCCCATATGACACCCCTAGTAGATAACATATAATATGACTTCAAGATTCATCTTTATACCTTTAATCTTACATTTATAACTTATATTTTCTTTTTGCTCTACAGTCTGAGGCAATTCCTCGGTATCTTCTAGAGTACTTTTTGTCCAGTATATCCATTTTGTATCCCACGTATTGATTTTTTACAGAAATAACATGCTTAATTTCGAAGGCTAACTCTTCTTGTTATCTGAATTATTCCTTTTTAATGGCATCCTTTTCATTGTATGGAAGTACAATCCTGTCAAATGTCTTCAAAAGTATTAACTTCTCTGCTGATCCCTGAATTCTCTCTTTTCTATCTGGAATCAGCCTATTTTTTTCATTTTTGACTTACATTTAATGAACTTGGTTCTCTTCAACAACTTGATCATCCTCCTTTTTTCCCACTTTAATAGGCCTAACCTTCCTTATCTAAGAAGATGAATAAGCTGCCTCTGAGGTTATGTGAGTTGGTTTTCTCAACTGATGTCTTTCTGGAGTTGGACTGCTTCCTCTTAGTGCACGTGGGAGGGAAGTCAGCACCTAGGTTCTAATTCCAGATGGCCCAAAGGATGAAATATTTATCCTAGACTTCAAGGATTAGAGTGAATTTCATTCCTTGGTAGACTTGACAGTCAGGGCCTCCTTTCATTTCTTCTTTTCCATATTTATTATGAAGGTCTTGAATTATCCCAATTTCTGGCCTGAATTCCCTCAAGCTCATATACTCAAAATCAAGCAGATGGTTCACTTTTTCTCTGCAGTTTTTCTTTTGTGGGCTTATGTGACATACATGCATGTTACCAGGGAGAGATAAAAGACTGACTTCTGGTCCAACTCCTGCAAATTCAGTTACTTAATCAGTTATTCCACAGATCACCTTGGGGGTAACTTCCTGCTCTTTTTGTTTTTCTGTCCGATCATGGTATTTCTCTGAATTTGCTCCTAGGTTACAGCAGTTTTTCAGCTTGTGTTATGAACCAATGTATCACTGCTTCTATTCCACTTGGTTTGTTTATGTTCCAAAAAATTCTCTTTATTTTGTTCCACAGTGGTAGACCTTCTTGTAAAGAGTCAAATTCTTTAAAATATTAAGAAAATACAAGCAGAAATAACCTTTGGGCATTTGGTAATATCAAGTTACATGAGGCTCAGATCAGAGATGCTGAAGCATGAATAACAGCAGAGACAAAGTAATGAGAATAGTTGAGAGTGAGAGTAGAAAAAGATAAAAATAGGAACAAGGATAGAGGCCTGGAAAAGTCCAAAAACAGAGAGGAAAGGGGTACTTATAAAAGAGATGGGAAAAAATGACCCAGGCAGGAAGAAAGCCAAAACAGAACAACATTAAAAAAAAGAATATTAATGTATTAATTTATAGCAATAAAGAAATGTAAGCTTTAGAATATAAACAAGGCAGGAGACATTTTTAGGGGGAATTCCTGTTCAATGATTGTAAATGCCTTAGAGCTGTGGTTCTCAAACCTTCACATGCCAAGTAATTGGGGAGGCTTGTTAAATTACAGATTCATAAGAGCCAGGTGTTGCTGACGCTGCTGGTTCAAGGACAAGAACCACTGCAATGTAGAGAGGGTGAAGCTGTGGATTTTCCAAAGCACATTGGGTCTAACAAGTTGGAAGACCTAGGTCACTGAGAGCGCAATATCCATAGAGCGGGTGGATGGGAGTCAGAATGAATGCAAGGATAGAGGGTCAGGACATGCAGGGAGCCCAGAAGCAAAAGGGAAAAATGAGACTGTGCAATTGTAGTGGCTTAATTCAGCCCCACGCTTAAATTCCTTTGGTACATTAGAATCCTTGGATATTCAAATGAATCCGTTCTCTGCCTCTTTACAGAAGGATAAAAGGAGTAAAATTGAGTTAAGGGAATGTGGTTATATCCCAAATACAGTGATCTGGATGGAAACGTTGGATGGGGAAAAGGAAGGAAGTTTCTGCAGGTGGTGGTAGAGAAGAAAGGGAGATGGGATGAGGCCCAGGTTTCTGGTTCTGATTCCTGAGTGAGAGGAACACAGGTCAATTAAGCCCATGTTTGTCGGAAAACTTAATACAATAAAATTATTTTGAGTAGTAAAGGTGAAGTCATATGGTCCAAGAAGATTAAGATAACCCAATAGCAATAACGGTAACAGATATAACTGCAGTAAACCAAAAGAATATTGTGACTTATGAAACCATAAATAAGAATGCAATTATTTTAATAAGAATATAATCAATATTTTTTTGACTATCAAACAGGAGACAATATATCTAGATTTGTAAATTCAGACCCTAACTTGTGACCTATAGCAAGTTTTAAAGTTTTTGACTTTTCACTACCTTATTTGTAAAATGAGAGTTATAACTTATTTTCAGGTTTCTTGTAACGATTACAGATCCTATAAAAAAAAATAGACTGTGTCTGGTGTAATTTAGATACTCACTGAGGAATAGTCATTGCATTATTTTTACAATTTTCATTATTACTTTTATTAGTTTATTATTAATAGCAATTTGTGGCCACATTTCACTCCTCACCTCGCCAACACTCTCGTTTAAGATAATGCCTTTGGTTAAAAGGACAGACATGCCAGAGGGTGAGGAGACAGGAAAAGAGAGAAACCACTGACCAGCTTCAATGAGCCCCTGTCAATGGCCAGGTCCACAGAGCCCACTTTTGGCCTTTCCAATCTTTGATTCCCAATTGGCTGTTCTTGCAACATCTACCCTACTCTAAATAAAATGTCAAAGTCAGTCTGGAATTCAGTGTTCCCTGGATATCACAACACCTGCTTTCAGTCCCCCGTGCTCTCGGAGACACACCGTTCACACATGTGAAGTATGCCTTTCCCTAGAGAGGGTACCATCTATTCATTTCCGAATTATCAATGCCATTAACCTTTGAGGCCTACACAAATTAACCCGTTGTTTGGAGCCAACTGCTTCCTGCTAACACTTATGAATTTTCAAATAGCCAAGTGACATTTTTAAAGCAGTCAGGAATCATCTAGGCCATGGTAGTAGGGGATACCTCTGCACTCTCGCCTCCGTTTGCAGCTTCTGATTTATACAGGAGCAGAAGGGTCTCCTGGGAAAATGCTTCAAAGTCTCCATGTGTCTACGAAGCTAACTCCTACAATAGCCATGAGAGGCAACAGAGGGAAAATGTCGAGGAGTGACCGCTGGGCTTCTGAAAGCAAATTCCTCCCAAGTGAAGAAGGCAGAAGAAAGTGGACTTGGCAATGGCCAGGAGAGAAAGAGCAGACCGTGGGGTGGCATGGCCACTCTTACTCATCCCATCCAGAGCACCCCAGTGCAGTGCTTATGCCTTGAGTGGGGAGGGGCCGTGTAAAAGATACCCCATTTTACCTCATACACCAGCAGGCTTCATATGCAAGCCTCTAGAAATTAAGAGCCAGGAGAGACAAGCTTATGTGCTTCAAAGCAGCTAACCATTTACTCTGGAGTAGAGCATGGATTCAAATGGCAGAGCTTAAAGGCAGAAGCCATGCATTTATTACTCAAATGCGGTGTTTGTTAGGAAAAAAGTAGTATCAGTGTAAACTAAATGCAAGCTGGAAAGTTGAGTAGTCTTTTAAGAACAGCATCAGAGGAAGTATCATTATCAGCTTGTTCATGATACAGTGACAAACACCTTCAAATCTCAGTGGCTTCAAGTTTCTCAGTCAGATTACATGCTTTTCTTGGGTTGGCTGGAGGCCCCATCCCAATTCTCCCTCAAGATAGAAGCCAGGCCAACAGAGAGACCATTATAATAATCTAGAACAGCAGTCCCCAACCATTTTGGCACCAGGGACCTGTTTTGTGGAAGACAATTTTTACACAGACCAGCGAAGGAGATGATATTCAGATAATTCAAGCGCATTACATTGATTGTGGACTTTATTTCTATTGTTATTACGTTGTAATATATAATGAAATAATTACACAACTCACCATAATGTAGAATCAGTGGGAGCCCTGAGCTTGTTTTCCTGCAACTAGACAATCCCATCTGGGGGTGATGGGAGACAGTGACAGATCATCAGGCATTCAATTCTCATAAGGAACGTGCAACCCAGATCCCTCACACGCACAGTTCACAATAGGGTTCCCAATCCTGTTAAAATCTAATGCCACTGCTGATCCCACAAAAGGTGGAGATCAGGCAGTAACGCGAGTGATGGGGAGCAGCAGCTATAAATACAGGTGAAGCTTCACTTCCTTGTCCTCCACTCACCTCCTGTTGTGTGGCCTGGTTCCTAACAGGCTACAAACTGGTAATGGTCTGTGGCCCACTGGGGACTCCTGATCTAGAATGTTTCCTGTTAAAATGCCTGAGAGAAACAATAGCGTGAAGAAGCTCAAACCGCGTGTGCAGCCCATGGAGCCTCCTGGAAAATTGGAGTCTACCATACACACAGGGGCAGATGGCCCAGAGGAACACGTGGGGCCAGGAGGAGTGAGATGTGGGTCATAATGGCTGTATGACTCCATTTGCTCTAACAGGCCAGTTCTTACAGTTACTAGATGAAATGCTTATATAGTAGTAGCTCTATGACAGGTCCTCATAAACACTAGGGGGGTCAGAATGCCTTAAAATAGGGCCTGCAGTGGCCGGGCACGGTGGCTTAAGCCTGTAATCCCAGCCCTTTGGGAGGCCGAGGCGGGCGGATCACGAGGTCAGGAGTTCGACTAGCCTGACCAACGTGGTGAAACCCCGTCTCTACTAAAAATACAAAAATTAGCCAGGTGTGGTGGCACATGCCTGTAATCCCAGCTGCTCAGGAGGATGAGGCAGGAGAATCACTTGAACCTAGGAGACAGAGGTTGTGGTGAGCTGAGATCACACCACTGCACTCCAGCCTGGGGGACAGAGCAACACTCAGTCTCAAAAAAAAAAAAAAAAAAAAAATAGGGCCTGCAATTACAGCTGTGATGCCAAAAGGCTACTACAGAACATTTACATGAGGGTGTGACTTACTGGTGCAGAGAGACAGGGAGGAATAACCACACCCAAACCTTTCCTGGGTGACTAAAAATAAAATGAGTTCTCTCTCACAGGGCTGCAGTACAGCTCACAAAATCGACCATATAAAGTTGTTTCTGGCTGTCACTTTGAGTAGAGTGGGATTCTCCACCACCCCACTCACTCCTACAGGGCACACCCTTCAGGCCTCCTGAACTGCAGCATCAGCTGCCTGACTGAGCTACCTGCAGACAGGCAGACTGCTTCCGGTCACAGCCTCTTGTGCACCTTCCCAAGGCTGCTGCTCCCAAGTCACACAACAGATATAGTTTCAACCCTACCAAACACCTTACATGACACGTGTAATCCCAGCACTTTGGGAGGCCGAGGCAGGTGGATCACCTGAGGTCAGGAGTTCGAGTCCAGCTTGACCAGCATGGTGAAACCCCATCTCTACTAAAAATACAAAAATTAGCCGGGCGTGGTGGCACGTGCCTGTAATCCTAGCTACTAGGGAGGCTGAGGTAGGAGAGTCGCTTGAACCTGGGAGGTGGAGGTTGCAGTAAGCCAAGATCATGCCACTGCACTCCAGCCTGGGCAGCAGAGCAAGATTTCATCTCAAAAAAAAGAAAAAAAAAAAAACAAACAAAAAACAAAACAAAATAAAAACACCTTACATGCCTTCTGAATAGGATTTAACTTTTGTTAAACTAGATCCTCAACTGCAAAATGGAAATAATTTTATCCGCTTCAGAGAGCTGCTGAAAGGCTTGTAGTTGCTGGGTATAGAGTCTGACGATATGCAGTTGCTATCCAATAAATATTCATTCCCACACTTCACCAATTCCTGGTTTTCCAGTGCTCCCTCTCATTGAAGTTGAGGTGCTCTGATGTTGTCCTCTATTCTCAGAATTTTATAGAGCATCTTACAGTTAAATGGCTTTGCCCAGCACACTGGCTCTTGGAATTGAGAGCCCCATCTCATTAGCGAGTAAACTCATCTGAAGCTTAGCGAGCAACAGGACTCTGCTCCCTCCATCCAGACAGACTCAAAACTGCAAGCCTGAGGTGGAACATGCTAAGTGCCGGTTGGTTCCCAAATAATCCTACCTGAAGCTTCTACACGATTCTAGAGATGGAGTTTTGCTTGCTGATGACACTGAAAAATCATGTGAAAAGAAAATAGGAACTTAGCTCTGCCTGAGCATTTCAGCCTTTGTGTGCTGCTTTTTTAGATAAGGAAATGGGCAGAGCCATGTGAATGCTGTTGGCCAGAGGCCAGGGAACGTCAGAGAAACTTGAAATGGAGCCCAGAAACTGAATCCGAAGGGGTGCCCCTGCGCAAAGGACTAGCTTAGCAGCCTGCAGAAGGGCCAGGAGCCATCATTTTGGGAAACCTCAAAGGCCCATGGAATTGTAGTCAGAAGCTTGCGTCTATGTGCATTTTCTGAGAAAGGATTTCATCTCTTTTATCAGATTCTCAGAACGACCCATGATTCAAAGCCAAAGAGGAAAACAAAGAAGTGAAGAATTGGAATTCAAACCTTTGGAAAAGCAGAACAAGTCTAACACCCACTTCTGCATGTTCAAACTTGATTAAATTCATTATATATTTTAGAATAATTAACTCTCTCTGGTTTGAAATAACTATGGTCTTCAGCCACGCTCACCATTCTCCATCAAAATGTTGGCCCAAAATTTACTTGCCTACAGTGTTAATTTTTAATGTTTATTAATGCCTAATATTTGTGCACTGTATGGGTATATGTGATATTCTGTTACATGCATAGAATGTGAAATGATCAAGTCAGGGTATTTGGAGTGTCCATCACATCGATGGTTTATCATTTCTATGTATTGGGAACATTTCAAGTCCTCTCTTCCAGCTATTTTGAAATATATATTGTTGCTAACTAGTTAGCCTACTCTGCTCTCAAACCTGGGAACCTATTCCTTCTAACTGTATGTTTGTACCCATTAACCAACTTCTCTTCATCCTCTACACACACACCGGCTTTTCAACTTGCTTACAACTAACACTTCCGCTAAATCAAGCTATTTTTTCCTCTTCTTTTTCCTTCTTTTGATATCGACGTGTGTTGTCACACACCAATCCTGGTGGAGTAAGACCTTTAGGTTTCAGTACTTGAGCCACTTTTTGCCTTTTGCTGAGGTCCTTCCATTGCCCAATACTGAGGGGCCCTCTGTGTCTGGGAACTGAGTTCAAAGATGTCATCTCCCTGTTCCACTATACAGTTGCCCCTCCTGGCATTTCAAAAACCACACTGGTCACAGCCAAATTTTCAAATAATCAGCTACCTAATGTTACCTGATTATGAAGAAATTGTTTATTCTTCTACCTTTTTTTTCCTCTCCATGTGTGCATCAACTAGGATTTAATTCATCACAACGGTTCCTTTCTTCCTTATTTCCAATCTTGACCTCGTCCTTGACATCACACTCAACATACACATTAGCTTACAATGAGACATATTTATAGAGTGACTCTTGTATACCAGAGGGACATTCTACAACTAAGCGTTGTGTCATTCACATCCTGGAAAAACAAAATCCCAGGCCATTAGGGTATTTCCATCTAAAAAACACATGATGGCAGTTTCACAGACCATTAATACAAAGAAGAATGTGAATGTATTATAAGAACTATGCAGGTGAATCCTCTGCTGGTTTTAAGGAAGAAATAATGCCCAGTGTGATATTGTGAGATACACACAGTCATGCACAGCATAGCGACTTCTGTCAACTATGTCAACTATGGACCACATCTACAAGGGTGGTCCCATAAAATCATAATAGAGCCAAGAACTTCCTACCATCTAGTGACTTCATAGCCGTCATATTATAGTGCAATGTATTACCTTTTCTATGTTTAGATACACAAATACCATTGTGTTACAACTGCCTACAGCATTTCAGTATAGTCACATGCTATACGGGTTTGTAGCCTGGGAGCAATAGGCTATGCCATAGAGCCTAGGCATGCAATAGGCTGTAGCATCTAGATGTGTGTAAGTGCACTCTATGATGTTCACATAAGGATGAAAATACCTAATGATAAGCCTGTCTTTTGTAGCCAATGAGATAACTGGTGGCTGGGCTTTCCAAGACAGCCTCAAGATGGAGGGTAGTCCCTGGAAAGACCAAGGCATGAGTAGAGAGTTGGAATTTTCAGCCTTACCTTCCAGCCTAAGGGAAGGGGATAGAAACTGATGGTTGAGTTGCTCACCAACGGCCACTGATTTTATCAGTTATGCCAACTTAATGAAGCTTCCATAAAACCCCCCCAAAAAGCAGGGGAGCTTCCAAGCAGCTGAACATGGGGAATCCCAGAGAATGCATGGAAGTTCCATAGGTCTTCTCACATACCTCGTCTTGTCCATGTCTTCCGACTGGCTATTCATCTGTGTCCTTTGTAATATCATTTATAGTGAATGGGTGAGAAGAGTAAGTCAAGTGTTTCCCAGAGTTCTCTGGGCTGCTCTAGCAAGTTAATGAAACCCAAAGAAGGGGTCATGAGAATCCCCAATTTATAGCCGATTGATCAGAAGTATAGGTGACCATCTCCTCCTTGCAACTGGCATCTGATAGGGAGGGCAGTCTTGTGGGGCTGAGCCCTCAACTTGTGAGGTGGGTGCTATCCCCAGGTAGTCAATGTGAGAATTAAACTGAATGAGAGGACACCCAGCTGATGTCCCCTTGGTTGGTGGGAAAATCCCCCCACACATCTGGTGTCAGAAGTGTTGTACTGAGGGACGTGTGAGGGACAGGTAAAGGAAACACACACGTTTGGTTTTCTCAAATCCTTACTCCCGGTTAAACAGAATTAGAAAAGACTTCCTAGAGGAGATATTATGGCCCAGCCTTGGAAAGTAGCAGGAAATGTCAGGTAATAGGTCAGTAGTTGTGTTAGGCTGTATCTTATGTTTTATTTAGGGAACTTGTGAAAATCATACCATAAAGGTAGACGGGGACCATCACATGAACTTCCTGGCAAGAAAGTTTAATAAATTCACTCTGCTTGTTAGTAGGTGATTAATTTGATCTCTTAATAATAAATATGCTCTTCAGCATTCTCCTTGCTCAATCCTTAATGAACCCATAGCTAACCAAGGGACATCGAAACGAGGTCTTCCATGAATGGGATTTCTTGCCTCACTAACATGAGACTTTTCAAGTGCTCTCATATGGCGGGGCTTGTAAATCTTTCTAAACCGCATCAAACACTTGCACTGGGGTCATGATTGCCTCCATCCGTGACCTTATGATTTCTTTCCCACGTGGCTCTGTGTTGCCGTTTGGCTCTGGATTTTGCCCCTGGGTTTACTTTGGGTGCGACCCTTTCCTTCCCATCCCTTAAAGGCAAGGTTGGCCCAGATTAGCTCTCCAGGCCCTTGCCAGGCTTTCCCTTGTGGGTAGCCTGAGATGCCTCATTCCTCCTGGGCCATCAAATAGCATCTCTGTGCTGATCCACCCACCCCACCCAGTCTCTGCCCCACACTCTTCACTCCTATAGCCCTGCCTACAGGCTTCTCCGCTTACATTTGGAGATGCAGCTCACACCCAACATATTTAAGACTCAGCAGATTTTCTTTTACACAAAAACTTACTTTTCCTACTCACACTGGAAACCAGTTTCCTATAACACTGCCAAACCCCTTAAGGGTTTCCCATCAAATCTGTCACACAGCCCTGTCCACGACACCACAAGAGCATTTATGAATCCATTCCCAGCCTCGCTGCCAGCGCCTGAGACAAAGCCCACGTCATTTCTCCCCTAGATTAATCTCACCAGGAGTCTCATGATGGATCCTCTGCCCCAGGTCAAATTCCCTTGACATCCATCTCCACCTGACCGCCAGAAGTATCTTTCCAAACATGGGTCACCATGCATGTTTCAGCTTAAAATCTGCCCATGAGTCCTCTTTTCCACCAGTGCTGAAATCAAGCTCCCCTAAAATGATTCACGAGGACATCACACCAGGTACCTCTTTACCCCTTCACCCCTAAGCTCTTCCCTACCCACAGCCCAGGCCCAGCGCCATGGAATGTGAGCCACCATCCAGGGACCTGGTCTAGCCAGGCTTCGTTGAACTCCTTCTTTGCCCCTCCTGGCTTGTGTGTCCCATCCTAGGTGGAAGATCTATCCTTGCCACCCTCCAGCCTGGTCAGGTGTCCCCCTGGTGCATTCTCTCGGGCTGACATTCTGTGAAATCCTGTCCTATTTGATTGTTTCCCCCTGTGCCCCCTCCTCTTTCTCCTTCAAGTGCAAGCTCCATAACCATAGAGACAGAGTCTTCCCCTAACAGTCCCTAGTGCCGTGCAGGTGCCCCTCGGAACAGATGCTCAGCCGAGAGGGTTGTGTCGCAGACACCTGGGACGAGAGTGACTGCAGGTTCCTCAACTCCCTGTGAAAAAAGCATGCGGACTGTGGAGCTGCCACTTCCCATGATCTCAGAGAGTTCATGTGCATCCAGGTAGATCATTACATTCTACAAATGCAGAAGACGGAAATTTGACTTCGGAGTAATGGAAACACTGTCTTAGGTCTACCAGGGATTCTTAAGGCTTGTTCCCAATAAAGTAGGGAATGAACTCACTGGCTTACAATTCCATCTTAGAATCTAGAGTTTTGTTAATTTAGAAAATGTTCAATATTTATTCCTGCCCAATCTATTCCTATCATTTTGGCATTTTTCAAATGGCATATATGAAACATTTGCATGTTTCATATATGCCAGGTACTGTTTTAAGTACTGTTTTCTAATAACTTATTTAATTGTCACAACAACCCCATGAGAAAGGTAATGTAATTATCACCTCCATTTACAAATGGGAACCCCTAGGCACAGAGAGGGCAAATAAATCCTCCACAATGGCACAGCAACTAGAGAGGCAAGCTCATATTCAGGGGGTCAGGCTCCAGCCCAGAAGATACTCCACTGCCTCGCCACCCTCTCTGTTCAGTTTAGTAGTTGACACTTTTATATTACTATCTAATATTTCACCCAACTTCCTTTTCATGTGCCTGAAAACCATCAAGCAGTTTTGAATTTACCTTCCAAATAAAATAGAATAATTAATGTTTTTAAAGCCCATTTATGTACTAACACCTGCTGGCCGTTTATCATATTTCAGACAATATCCTAAGCAATTTAACAGAATTGTCTCATCTCATTCTCACAGCAAAGTAATGTTTAGTCCTCTCCTTTTCCATGTATCTCAAATGTCTTAAATCCTATTCTCTGTTACATATACTATGATATAAACTGACTGGATTCCTCTTTGCAAATGATAAAATGTTCCCTAAAAATATTAAAGTTAGCTTGCATAATTTGTTTTAATAATAAGCCCTAGATTTTTTTTATTCAATTATAGATCAATTATAGATATCTTTTCAAAATGGAGAAAAATCTATCTTAAAATATAGTAGGAAAAACCCACTTCACAAAGAAAAAAAGCACATTCTAACAAAAGTAAACAACTAGTAAAAACATGAAAATGTTTAAAATGTCTAAGATGTGTTAAGGTTTTAGTAGGCATCTGATGGACTTGTAAGGGAGATTTGAGCAAAAGAGCCAAATCTGAAAAATAAAGTTCTTGATTGCTAATCAAATGATTAAGGAATGGTGAAAATGCTGGCTTCTTCTAGATGGACTATGGTTCTTATCTAGCACCCTACGACCTGGTGGGTCTCCGAAATCATCTTCTGAATGGGTTTGTTCTGCACCCGCCATACACTCTAAGTCGACACACAATTATTACCTTCAATGCTGGCGACAGATGGTTGGCCCACTCTGCACTAAGATCCCCCCTCCAAATCAACTTTTACAATATACCAAATCTCGATATGGATAGGGAAAAAAACTCCAAGGAGGTAAGGCTTTCAGAATGTAAGAAATGGAGAAGATTTTAATGAAAATCTCATCTAAATCCATCCAATTTGAGAGACTGGAACCCGGTGGGGAAATGAGCTACTGAAGCCCATATGACAACCCAAGGGAACACTGACCTTCTAACTTGGCATTCACCCAGGGAATTGCCAACCACTCCACAAAAGCAGGACGCAGATCTTACAGTTTAGAAAGCACCCAGAACTGAACCTTGTCCACCTGACCTCTCCGTCCTTGCTGGTGAGCTAAGACATTGAGTCCATTTGGTATCAGGAAATGAGCCCCACACACAGATTCAGAAGTCATCAAGGAGGCAATTGAAATCACTTGGGCTTTGCATCTGCCTTCCATGGCCAGGCACCTGCAGAAGTGCCTCACCTGATATCAGAGAAGCCCCAGCTCACCTGCCACTGAGCCTCAACACTGTCTCCTAATAATTAGCTCCTGTGAGACCTGCATCCTATTAGACAAACCCCTGCCTTAAGCCACCTCTTTAGAAGGCTCTCCCTGGCTTCCAGTGCAGTTTTGCTCAACTTTTATTTTAAGTCTTCTTCCTCCGGCAGCTCATTTTTCCCTGGTCTCCTGAGTGGCCCCTGCAGGCAGGCTTCATCATCAATGAGAAGTGCACCAATCAACAATTTTGTTCCAATGACAAAACCTCAACGCATCTGAAGTGCTGTGGACATGAAGAGGCAGAGCAGCTTGAGAAAGGGCAGAATTTCCAGCAGCTGGTACAGAAATAGCACAGCCAATTAAGATTCCAGCTGCAGAGAGACAAAGATACAATCTGGAGCAATCATAACTCTGTGCTGTGGATTTTTAGGAAAACAGATTTGCCTTTTACTCCCAGGTTTGGTGATAAAGATTGAGAGCCGGCTGGACAGCTGGCAGCCCTAGTAAGTGTCTCCCTTGCTCCTCCTAACTGAATTCCCACCCCCAGCCCCACCAACACACACTCCAACATGCGGCTCAGGGGTCCAAAGTGGTTTTGGGTTTCGCTGCTGCTTCCTCTGGTCTTCTCCAGTGAGGTCAGGGAGCTTTCCCAAAATAGTGCTCAGAAGAGAAATTAGCTTTCAAAAGGGGAGAAAAAGGCAGGAAACATCACATCCATGGAACTGTCTTGGCAGTGAGTGAATATGGGAAGTATTTCAGTGAATGGAATAAATGAATCCCCCCGCACCTCACGCTGAAGAAAACCAGCATCAATATTTCACTTTCTGCATGATTGTGGATAAAAAGCAAGGCCACGTGGATTTCTAGGGATCTGCGTTACCTTGGCAGGGAGCACATGAGTATGAGCATAAGGCCCTATTTCATTTTATTCTTTTATGACATTGGTTTATCAAAATAACACATCTAATATCAAAATGATATTTCTTAAAAGCAAGTCATTAGGAAAGAGTTTTCAGTTCCATTGCCCTGTGTCTAAAAACAACCACAAAGTACATTTTATAGCTTTCCAATATTTCTCTAATACTTTTATTTGTTTCTGATTTGGAGGGAAAAATTAACGATGCAAAAGGCGTATTTCCTTTGAGTTCAGGGTGTATGACTCTGTTCCCAGACTGCTATAATAAATACTACCCAAGACTGGGTAATTATAAAGGAAAAAGGCTTCATTGACTCACAGTTCCGCAGGCTTAACAGGAAGCACCGCTAGGAGGCCTCAGGAAACTTATCATCACCGCAGAGGGAGAGAGGGGAGGCCGGCAACTTCTTCACAAGGTAGGAGGAGAGAGTGAGAAAGGCGAACGGGGGAAAAGACCCTTATAAAACCATCACATCTCGTGAGAACTCCCTCGCTACCAGGAGAACAGCATGGGAGAACCCGCCCGCATGATCCAATCACCTCCCACCAGGCCTCTCCCTCAACATCTGAGGATTGTGATTCGAGATGAGATTTAGGTGGGGACACAAAGTTTAACCATGTCACAGGAGTAAAATTAAGAAAACAAAGCCACAGATTCTTACCTAGTTGAAAGTATCAGTTTGTTGTTGCTGTTGCTGAATTTTGCTTAGGTTTTCTTCTATTAGAAATAACTTCAGGCCAGGTGCAGTGGCTCACGCCTGGAATCCCTATGCTTTGGGAGATCAAGCTGGGCGGATCACTTGAGGTCAGGGGTTCAAGACCAGCCTGGCCAACATGGTAACACCCCATCTCTACTAAAAATACAAAAAAAAAAAAAGTATCCAGACATGGTGGCAGGTCCTGTAATCCTGGCTACTTGGGAGGCTGAGGCAGGAGAATTGCTTGAATCCATGAGGTGGAGGTTGCAGTGAGCCAAGATTGTGCCACTGCACTCCAACCTGGGCGACATGGAGTGAGACTCCATCTCAAAAAACAAACAAGAAAGCAAGAAAGAAAACAAAAGAAATAACTTCAAAATCTCTTAAAACAACCTTACCACCTGTTTTCTAGTCTTAATCTTCCATTCTGCAGATTGGCAGTACTTTATGTCTATCTGCTGACTGAGATTATAGAATTCCTCACACATGGCTCCTGGGCGCTTGCTAAACTTGTAGTTACTGAAACTCCTTTTCAGATTTGAAGGCGTCCCTGAACGTGGACTTCTTTGGCTTCATTCTCCCCGACCTGTGTTATATTTTACAAAAACACCTCGAGACTGGCTCACCCAATTGCCTCTGTGAGCGCCCCTAGGAACTTGTTTTGAGGCTGAATACACTCCATCTATGACCGCTCTGTTTCCCGGCCCTTGGCCAATATAGACCCAATGTCCTCAGGTTCTTTCCCTTCTGCGAGCTGGGTGACATCACTTCAGACCAATGCCCTATTGTATGTTAGAACCAAAAAGCGTTTACATTTCCATTCAAGCCCTCATTTCTACACGGAATTTTTGGTAGTCCTCACAAACTGCTGTCCTCCTGCTTTTGTCCATCTCAGTAAATGGCAGCAGTATCTACCACATTGCTGAGGATGCAAACCTAGATATTTCCCTCAATTCTTCCTTTATAAAAATTCCTACAATAGCCCTGATAATTTTATTACCCCAAATTTTTTTTATTTTTTGAGACGGAGTCTTGCTCTGTCACCCAAGCTGGAGTGCAATGGTGCAATCTCAGCTTACTGCAACCGCCACCTCCAGGGTTCCAGCGATTCTCCTGCCTCAGCCTCCTAAGTAGCTACAGGCATGCACCACCACGCCTAGCTAATTTTTTGTATTTTTAGTAAAGATAGGGTTTCACCATTGTCCAGGTTGGTCTCAAACTCCTGACCCCAAGTGACCCCCCGGCCTTGGCCTCCCAAAGTACTAGACTATAGGTGTGAGCCACCATGCCCAACCCATATTTTTAATTGCCTAATTCCATTTATTTCTATGAGTTTAGCTCAGGCTGTCACCATTTCCACCCTGGACCATCACAAATCTCCATCTCTAGCCATTGGGTACCACTCACTCGTCCGCCACCCTCGTGCCGCCATCTCCTCACCATCCATCCACCTGCCACGCACAACTCACATGTGAGTCATTTCCCCATCTTAAAACTTCTCAGCTGCTTCCCGTTACCTTTAGAATGAAATCCACACTCCTAATGGTGAGCCTCAAAGCCCTGCACACCAGGCGCCTGCCTCCGGCTTCATTGTTATCCCATGTCCCTCGCCTCTCACCCACTGTGGTCTGGACGCACCTACCTCCTCTTTTCCCCTAAAACACCAAGGTCAGTGTGTCTTCAGGACCCCTGCACTCGCTCTCCATTCAAAGGCCTCCTTCTCTTTCTGCAGGACTCCACTCACGTGCCCTCTCTTCAGAGAACCCTCATCTAGCACCCTATTTAAAGTGTCTCCCTGCCACAGAGCTCCTGCGACTTTCCCGGCAAGAGCACCTCTAGGTCAAGAGAAAGACCTTGCAGGTTCATTTATTAAGCAGTGAGACTCAGCCTATTTATAGATGAACAACATAGTCACCATTTGAAAAGGCAATAGATATAAATTGAAAGAGAAAGATGATATTTTTATTCCATCCTTCAACAACCACTCATAGCAATAACTGACTAATAGGAAATGCACCTCTATTCAGGCTTCGTAACTCCTCACTCCCAGGAACCTCCATGCTCATTTCCCTTCCACATTCATTCATTTTCACAAGGGTCTCACCTTTTGTCACAGAAAGAATAAAAAAGCAATTTTGTAGAGATATGTCATCAGAAGAGATGCAGCACTGTCTGAGGTTGAAACAGTGAGCTCTCTCAAGTAAGTAGCTTGTGTGGCATCTGACAGTTGTTGGCTCTTGCCCTGTTTCCCTCAAAAAATTAAAATGCCACAGGCAGACCTGTGGTTCTGCGCCCAGGGTAACACAGTGCAAAGTCTGAGGACTGCAGTCTATTATCACTTTATTACTCTCTCTAGCTTCACCTATCACAACCATAATGATCTTGTATCTCCTTTGGGTTTGTGGGGAGTTTTCTCTCGGCTATCTACACTCAGGTATGAGTTTTACATTATGTCTCACATATGTGTACATTTTTGGACTGTCAACACTTTATGTGTAATTTCCATAAATTGTGTGTAACAACTGTTAACACTTAACCACAACTTCCAGCATGATGCCTGACTCACCCTAGGTGCCCAATAGGGCTCAGGGACACCGTAAAGGATCAAGACTTCGAGTAATTTAGCAACAGGGTCAGCTCTAATATCCTGCTTTCTAGACTCATAACTAAGCCTGTAACTATGCCAGCACTCAGATGTTTGTTTCTATTCTATGCTAAGAACAGAGACACTGTTGTTGAGGTAAGTGTGGTCCCTAGATAGTGTCAAGAAAATGGACTCTGTGACATCCTGAAAATCTCTTACAACATAAATAGTCCCAGTCCTAATGTTCCAGATCAATATTTGTTTTGCAAGTCGAGAAACTTAAACCCAAAAAGGTTAAAATAATTTCCCCAAGGTCATATAAATAGTGTCGGAGAAAAGTATGAACTCAAGGTTTCTGAATTTTTTTAAAATAAGAGAATTACTAGAAATGTCAAGGAACTTCCACACAATGGAATATTGTATATCCTCTAAAAGCAATTCTCAAATGATCTTAAAGTTATATTGATAAATGAAAAAGGAGAAAAAAAATCCATAGGTGTTTTCATTTGCAAAGAATATCTCCAGAAGTAGATAACAAGATAACAGGAAATATACAAATTTGGTTACCAATTGGATGGGAAAGAGAAGTAAATGGAAAACTGCTTTGCATTCATTTTGTGACATTTTTATGACTTTTCCAATTTTTTACCTTGTATACATATTCATTGAATCAAAATAAAAAATAAAAATTTACAAGGGTTACATAAAAAAGAAGTTAAGCCCAATCTGTGATAATTAAGAAGAAAATCTTGATATTGTTGTGGTGTACTTTTTTATGCTTTTGATGTTGTGATTATATTGTATCATTAGGAAGTGGCACCATTGAGAAATTATTTGTCAATGGTATATAGACATAAATACTTTTATCTTATTTTGAGGGCTTACCTTTTTTGTTTTGTTTTGTTATGCCAGTTCCTACTGGAAATGTTTTTCCTTTTAAAAGTTTTTCCTTGTTAACTAAAATCAACTTGATCAATCAAGTTCATACACAGGTTGCACGATTTATATTTTGGTAAACTGTCTCCTAAATATTCACAGATAGATAAATGGTGTATTAGATAAATGTTCGTTCTCAGGCTGCTGATAAAGGCACACCCAAGACTAGGTAATTTATAAAGAAAAAGGTTTAATGGACTCACAGTTCCACATGACTGGGGAAGCCTCACAATCATGGCAGAAGGCAAAAGGCACATCTTACATGGTGACAGGCAAGAGAGAATGAGAGCCAAATTAAAGAGAAAACCTCTTATAAAATCATCAGATCTCATGCAACTTATTCACTACCATGAGAACAGTAAGGGGAAAACCGCTCCCATAATTCAGTTATCTCCCACGGGGTCCCTCCCACAACACATGGGAATTATGGGAGCTACAATTTAAGATGAGATTTGGGTGAGGACACAGCCAAACCACATCAAATGGATAAAGAAAATGTGGTACAAATATACAATAAAATATTATTCAGCCATAAAAAAGGAGGAAACATTCATGATATCTTCTAACATTCATGGATTTATTATAGTTATATATACACAGCCTCATTCCAAAAAATATTTTGAGACAGTTTACAAGAATACATATGGTATAACATATGCCAGAGAAGACTGGCAAAGAAAATACACAAATATCACAAGACATCGTGAATGTTTTCTTCTTTTTATGACTGAATAATAGTCCACTGTATGTGTATACCACATTTTCTTTACCTTTTCACCTATTGATGAATATCTAGGTTGCTATCAAATCTTGGCTATTGTGAATTATGTTGCAGTGAACGTGGGAGTGCAGACACCTCATTGAGATCCTGACTTCGTTCTTTTAGATATAACATGAACTTCGAGGACAATATGCTAAGTGACATAAGCCAGTCATCAAAGGGCAAAAACTGCATGATGCCACTTGTATGAGGTATATAAAGTAGTCAAACTCATAGAAACAGAGAGTAGAATGGTATTTGCCAGGGGCTTAGAGAGGGAAAAAAGGAGAGATGCTCTTCAACAGTTAGAAAGTTTCAGTTTCATAAAACGAGTATGTTTTTGAGATCTGCTCCATATCATTGTGCCTGTAATAAGCAGTTCTGTCATGTATATTTAAAAATGTGATAAGAGGGTGGATCTCACCTTAAGTGTTCTTACCACAATAAAAATAATCTGCAAAATAGGATAAAGAGAATGCTGAGAGAATTCATTTGACAAGGCCTAACACAGAGACTGACCCAAATGCCCATCTTTTTATGTCTAATAAACTGACACTTGAAAGATCATTATAATACATCACACCTAGAATGTGCAGATTAAACTAAAATTTATGGAACACATGCATTATGCTCCTATCAGTTTTCTCCAACAATAATGCACACACTAATAGGATTCAATCACTTTGCTATCAATTCAAATTGACAGTTATATAGAGTGCCCAAACAATTACAATGTATATAAATTATTTTTGAAACTAATAGGCATCATGTCCATGTAAGATGTTTATATAAAGAATTTTACATCCTCATCATCTATGAAAAAATTGCCAGAGTGATAATATTTCAGAATATGAAAAGGTTGAGTTTAAATGTGTATGAAATTTATGGTGAAAAGATATATCCACCCAAGTGGACGGCAAGTTCATATTTGCTGATTAAGAGTACAGAATTAGCTTATTAACAATACACTATTCGGTGCAGATATAATATTTGCCATCACTTTCTAGGTAACTGTTCTTTCAAGATGCAGTAAAACCCACATTTTTTGAGATACTGAATGCTTGGCCTTAGCTCTCTTGAAAACTAATAGCAATATTTTATTAAAAAATAGAAAATATCTCATAATGTGACTTTGAGAGCTAAAAAGCCAGTATCATGATAAGTCTTTAAATCTATAAGGACTATAATTTGCCCATCTGTTATGAGAACTAACATTAAGTGACTGAATGGTAGAAATTTTGAACGCTGATGGCATGTTTCTGAATCACTTTATGTTATTACTGAATAATTAAGATTTACTGAGTTATTAAATAAATCAAAATTACTCTCTATAACATATAGCATAGAACTGCAGGAGATTAAATACAGGGAAACTCAATTGTTTAGACTTAGCAATTTATATTTTTGAAGAGGCAGATATAGAAAGCTATGCAAGTAAATAAAATAGAAAATAATAGGTGTGATTTTAATATTTCAAATTCTATTGGAATTGAAAAGAGAAAAAAGTTTACTTTCTTCTATCAGGCACATATTTTTAAAAATCTATTTTCTCATTCTTTCTTTGAAAAAATATCATGACAGATATCATTGCTTGGTTTCAGAGATTCAGAAGGCTCAAAGAAGTTAACCAAACTCACACGGCTATTAGGAATATGAACCGTAAACAAATAATCTTGCAAATATGAAAATGAAGAGCATCCAGGAGGATGCCCAGTGTTTTCAGGACAGAATAGAAAGAAAAGAAAGTGTAAAGCGTTTACATCTGCTAGGGATAAGACATAAGAGAATGTGCAACAGGAATGAAAAGAAGGAAGAATTTTATTTAAAAGAATCATAAATCCTTAATAACTTTTTGGAATCAAGTAGGTGCTAAGATTTGTAAAAAAAATGGACAAGTTTGTTTCCATTATAACTGTACAAAAAAAGAATTCAGAAGGCATTCTAAAAAGAAGTGAAATATGAAATTAAACCACGGAGAATACTGTCAACATTGCCCAGTCACTGAGTGGATTTCAAGTGGACTCCTTTGTATTTTCCCAGCCCCTGTCTGGGAAATGATCCACTGCTTTTAACTCTGTCAAGTGATACAACCGGGTTTGCTAAAACACAGAGAACATGAGGCTCTTCCAGTCCTGTGGAATTGTCTGTTGATGCTAGTAGAGAACAAAAGTGAAGGGATTCATAAAATCAATATTTACAGAAAGTAACTTTGTAAGAAAAAGGCATGCTTTATAAATAAGAAAACAGCATCTTAGCTGGCAAGCCTCTGCAATAAATTTAAGAAAAAGTTAGTGAATAATTTGTAACACAATTATACTCACTTTGAAATATTACTCCTCAAACTGAATTGTATAGCTGGAAAAAATAATAAGAAAATCTATCTAAAAATGTGGATAGTTTTTGGCATCCATTAAGCTGTGGCCATTGAAGTGAGCCTAAGGATACCGTCCTGCTTGACAGCATGTCAATACAGAGAAATCATTCTGCTGTAATGGGCAATAGCTCTGTTAGCCAAAATGTTAAAAACAAACAGCAAAAATTGGTGTCTGAATTTTGCTGAATGAAGAGTTTTGAGATGGCAATCAAGGAACAATTTAAACTTTTACAATTCAGGAAACAAAAATTTGTTTAAAAAAAATCATTGTGAATGCTGACAAAATGTTTGCTGAAAAATAAAGTTATAAGTGTTAATTTACTCATTAATCACACTTGCATTTGCACTGAAGACACAAAGGAATTAAAAATGTAATCCCTGCCCTCAGGGAACACATTATGTAGTGGAGTGATATATATAAATAAGCAATGTAGAATGAAATTTATAGAAATCCCACGTAGATGAACCTTGAGGACATTATGCTAAGTGAAATAAGCCGGACACAAAAAGACAAATACTGTATGATTCTCCTTATAGGAGGTACTAGAGCGGTCCAATTCATGGAGACAGAAAACAGAATGATGTTTTCTGATGGCTGTGGGAAGGAGATAATAAGAAATTATCTAATAGGTACAGAATTTCAGTTTGGGAAAATGAAAACAGTTCTTGCGATGGATGGAGGTAATGGCTGCATAACACTGTGAATGTACTTAATGCCACTGAACGGTACACATAAAAATGGTTAAAATGATAACGTTTATGTTATGTACATTTTACCATGATAAAAAAGTACTGAAGTATACTTGTATGTGTATGTTATAACTAGTTGATATCTTGAAGTAGAAAACCTTCTCCATATTAGAAGTAACTTTTAAAAAGTAAAATGCTGATGTTAAAAATAAAAATGCTGATATGAGTTAAAACATCATTTTTCACTTACAAATTATCTTCCTTTTTCCTTTCAAAAAATGACTTAAGAAAATAAACTAAGAAAAAATATTTATAAATTTCTATCTTAAATTTAAAAGATTTAAATTCAAACAATTATATAAAATGAGTTTATATACTATATAAGAAATATATTATGGAATATATATTTGTAAGATATCTTATACATTACATTTATATAGTAGTTTTCATATATAAATATATGAAGTAAACAGTCCTCAAAATTTTTTTTTATTTTGTGTTAAGTTCCTGGATACATGTGCAGAAAGTGCTGGTTTGTTACATAGGTAAATGTGTACCATGGTGGTTTGCCGTATCTATCGACCTGTCACCAAGGTATGAAGCCCCACATGCATCAGCCATTTGTCCTGATGCACTCCCTCCCCTTTGCCCTGCCAACAGGCCCCAGTGTGTGTTGTTCCCCTCACTGTGTCCACGTGGTCCCATTGTTCAGCTCCCACTTACGAGTGAGAACATGCGGTGTTTGGTTTTCCATTCCCGTGTTAGTTTACTGAGGATGATGGCTTTCTGCTTCAACCATGTCCCTGCAGAGAACCTGATCTCATTCCTTTTTATGGCGGCATATTATTCCATAGTGCATATGTACCACATTTTTTATCCAGTCTGTCACTGATAGGCATTTGAAATCGCCAAATATTTTTAATTAAAAATTGAGAAGAAAAATAAAGCAGAAAATATGATTTCAAAGATTTTCTACGTTCACTTTTTTTTCTTTTTGTGACAGAGTCTGGGTCTGTTGCCCAGTCTGGAGTGCAGTGGCGTGATCTCAGCTCACTGAAGTTTCTGCCTCTTGGGTTCAGGCAATTATCCTGCCTCAGCCTTCCGATTAGCTGGAATTGCAGGCATGCAACACCACGCCCAGCTAAATTTTTGTATTTTTAGTAGAGATGGGGTTTCACTGGATTGCCCAGGCTGATCTCGAACTCCTGGCCTCAAGTGATCTGCCCGCCTCAGCCTCCCAACGTGCTGGGATTACAGGTGTGAGCCACCACACCTGGCCTCTACATTCACTTTTGGTCAGAAGAGAGGATGCTGAGTAAGCTGTAGTTTATGCTAACCCTTCTAGTATGTGTAGGTCAAATGGCAGGTGACTTGCTACATAGCAGAGTCTAGTAAATGACTGTTACTGTTCTCTTGTGTCAGGTAATTTAGAGAGGGAGAGAAGAAGAAACAGGGATAAGTAAAAAATAAATAAATAAAATAAACAGACACCATTAGGAGAAATGAAGTAGTGAAAACCTCCAAAAAGCCTCTCTTCCATAAAAGCAACTAGAACACTAGCAAAATTTCCAAAATCAACTTTTTCTGGACTCGTAGCATTAACCAAAGGCTTGAAACAGTGTAGGGAACATTTATTCAACCAAAATAGCTGAATCTCAGTAAGCATAAGGAATTTCTGTGGCATTTTAATTTACCCTAAACCCATTACCTTCTCTCCAGCTCCATGGTAGCCTAGAAAACAAACAGCTCACAATCAACGTGAAAAACAGCAGCCTCACAGCCAATGGAGGGGTTTGATCAAGGTTGGACTTTTTCCAAATCCCTGTTCTCAGAGATTTGTCATTGTTTGACATGACTGGAAGTTCCCTGGAAACTCCATTTTCATTTCCAGAGCATTTTTCATGGCTCAGAGCTCTCCACATGCAAACAGCCCTTACCTCAGTGCTGTTTGTTAAAAAAAAAAAAAAAAAAAAAAAAAAAAAAAAAAGGAATTGTTTAACCTCAGGTGCCCAAAGTGGTAACAATAGTTGGGACAAACAACAAGCTAACTCATAAACATAAAAGAAGAGTTGGGGAGTGAGATGTCCATAGGGAGTTTTGAAAAGCTTCAACATATTTCTGGGAATCAAAGAAGCCATGTGAATGCACAGGGCTTTGCACATGCCCAGGGATATGTGAATGCTTAAAAAAGAGCTGGCAAAGCCCTAAGTCCTCACCACTGACTGATTTTGAAGCTCTGATCGAACAGGAAGTGAAGGGTAAGGCAGAGTTGGAAAGTGCTTAGGGGAGTTTTGATGTCATGTACCAATACATATACAGAACCTTTCAGCAAAGACTGAGAAGCTTCATGAGTCCAGCATTTAAGAAATATCTGTCCCAACACTAGCTAACCATTCAGCTAACTGTGCGGAGACACCAGTGGCCACATACGACAAAGGATACAGAGTTGAAAGAATTAGCTTAGTTAAGTCACTAAACAAACAGAAAAAATAATGATAACAACAAACCCTTGGAATGGGGAAGAATCTGGTTTCCAGAGCTGGAACATTATTTAAATGTCCATTTTTTTCCACAAGAAGTAATAAGACAAACCAAGAAACTAGAAAATATTGCACATATACAGGAGAAAAAAAGACAATCAATAGAAACTATCCCTGAAAAGGTCTAGATTAGAAACTCTCTATGAAGAAGTTCAGATGTGGACTTACCTGAGAAAGATTCAAAATCAACTAATATAAATGTGTTCAAAGAACTTACATAAATCATGTTTAGAGAAGTAAAGGAATTTATTTATAAGGCTGTGTCACTGAATAAAGAATATCAATAAACAAACTATAAAAAGAACCAAATACAAATTATGAAGTCAAAAAGCACAATAGCTGGAATGAAAAATTAACTAGAGAACCTCAAAAACAGAGATGAGTGGGCAAAATAATAAATTAATCTTAAGACAGATTAATTGAGACCAGCCAGTCTGATGATCCAAAAAAAAAAAAAAGAATGAACAATCTTAGATACCGGTGGGACACAGTCAAGAATATCAGCATAAGCACAATGGGATTTGCAGAAGGAGAGAAGAAATAAAGAAAAGCAAAAAGAATAATTAAAGAAATAATATCTAAAAACGTCCAAACTTTATGAAAAATATTAATCTGCACATCCAACAAGCATAACAAACTCCAAATGAGAGAAAATTGAAGATATACATACCTGGGCACATAATTGTTAAGCTGCTGAAAGACAAAGACAAAAAGATAATTTCAAAAAGGGCAATGGAAGTGACTTCATATACCAGAGATCCTTTAACAGATAAACAGCTGATTTCTCATTTGAAGCCCTACAGAACACAGTGATGTATCATTCAAAGTGCATAAAGAAAAAGACTGTCAATGAAGAATTCTATATCCAGCAAAATTAATATTTAAAAATAAACTAGAAGATATTTCAGATAAACAAAATGTGAGAGAATGTGTTAACTAAACTTCCATAATAGTAATACTAAAGGGATTTACATGAAGAAATAAAAAGCACCTGTAAATGTAAGCACATAGGTAGATATAAAAGACAGGATAAATGTGTTTTTTTGTTTCTAATACTTTTCCTTTACTATCTTACTTAAAAGACAACTGCACAAAGTAATAATTGCACATCTATGTAGATCAGCATAAAATGTATGAAGATGTAACATGTATGACAACAATAGCACAAACAAGGGAGAAAGAAACTGGAGCTAACATAAAGCAAAGTTTTTGTATATATTAAGTTTGTCCTAATTCAATAGAGATTGTTATAAATACAAATGCTAATTATATTCCTAAGGAAAATCATTAAGAAAATTACTCAAAAAAAGGCCAGGCGTGGTGGCTCACGCCTGTAATCCCAGCACTTTGGGAGGCTGAGGCGGGCGGATCACCTGAGGTTGGGAGTTCGAGACCAGCCTGACCAACATGGAGAAACCCTGTCTCTACTAAAAATACAAAAAATTAGTCAGGCATGGTGGTGCATGCCTGTAATCCCAGCTACTCGGAAGGCTGAGGCAGGAGAATCACTAGAACCCAGGAAGTGGAGGTTGCGGTGAGTCAGGATCACACATTCATGCCATTGCACTCCAGCCTGGGCAACAAGAGCAAAATTCCATCTCAAAAAAAAAAAAAAAAAGAAAGAAAGACAGAAAATTACTCAAAAAAATGATACAGTAAAAGAAAGCACAAGGAGATTAAAATGGCATATTAAAAAGTTTTAGCCTAAAAGAAGGCAACAATGAAAAAATAGCAGATCAAAAATGACATGTCATAGAATAAACAAATAGCAAAAAATTAGATACAAACGTTGTTATGTCATTAATTACATTAAATGTAAATGGACCAAATACTCCAGCAAAAGACAGGGATTTAAAATTGGGCTGGTCACAATGGCTCATGCCTGTAATCCAAGCACTTTGGGTGGCTGAAGTGAGTAGATCACTTGAGGTCAGGAGTTCAAGACCAGCCTGGTCAATATGGTGAAACCCCATCTCTACTAAAAATACAAAAATTAGCCTGGCATCGTAGCACACATCTGTAGTCCCAGCTACTCAGGAATCTGAGACACAAGAATCACTTGAACCCAGGAGATGGAGGTTGCAGTGAGCCACCTCCTGGGTTCAATTTAGAAACACGATTTAGGTCCAAAGGCAGAAATAAACTTAAAAGTAAAATAAATAAATAAATAAATCATACATTAAAACAATAATTAAAAGAGATCGTGGCTATGTTAAAATCAGAAAAAATTGACCTTAAGCCAAAATCTGTCAATAAATACAAAGACAGAAATAAAGTTATCATTTTATTATGATGAAAGCCTCAAAATGTTTGTTTCTTCATCAAAAATCAATAAAAATTATAAAAATTTATGCACCAAACAACTGAACAGCAGAATCCTAAAATATGTGAAGAAAAAACTGAAAGAATTGAAAGGAGAAATAATGTAAAAAAAAGTAATTGGGGACTTTACCACCTCACTTTTTAAATTATGAATAGGACAACTAAGCAGAAGATTAACAAGAAAATAGATGATTTTGAATAATACCAACAATTAACTAGACATAACAGACATCTACAGAACACTCCACCCAACAATAGCAGAATATACATTATTTTCAAATTCACATGGACCATTCACCAGCATAGACCATGTATTATGTCATAATATAAATCAATAAATACAAAAGGAATGAAATCTTACAAAGCATTTTCTTTATATTAGAATGAAATTAGAAATCATTAATAAACAGAATTTTGAAAAACTCAAAATACACTGAAATTAAATAACCTGCTCTAAAATAATCATAGGTCAAATAAGAAATCACAAAGATAATATAAAAATATTTTAACATGAGTGAAAATGAAAACACTACACACCAAAACTTATAGGACAACTACATTAAAAAAAAAGATCTCAAATCAATAACCATCTTAAAACTTAAAGAAAAAACAAAGAGCAAACTGAACCCAAAACAAGCACAAGGAAAAAACTAATGAAGATTAGAGTAGAAATACACAATATAGAAAATATAAACACAATAGAGAAAATCAAAGAACCAGTTCTTTGAGATCAACAGAATTGACAAGCTTTTGGCTACACTGACAAAGAAAAAAGAGAAGACTCAAAACACTAAATTCAAGAATAAAAGATGGAACATTACTATCAATTACAGAAATAAAATGGCCTATAAGGCAATACTATCATATAAACAATTTTATGACAACAAATTAAATTACTTGATTAAAATGGATGAATTTCCAGAAAGACATGAACTACCTAAAGTGAGTCAAGAAGAAATAGATAATCTGAACAGGGCTACACATGTGAAAACATTGAATTCTTAATCAAATAACTTTCCACAAAGAAAAGCCCAGGGGAAGACACCAAACACACAAGCAACAAAAGAAAGAAATGAATGAATTGAACTTCAAATTCTAAAGCTTTTATGCCTGAAAGTGTATAATCAAGAAACTCAAAATAAAACCAACAAAATGGGAAAAATATTTGTAAATTATCTCTCTTTTAAAGGACTATTATGCAGAATATATAAAAATATGTATTTTTAACTCTTACAACTCAACAACAAAAAGAAAAATAATTCTATTAAAAATGCATAATGGATGTAAATGGAGAATTCTCAAAAGAAGACATACCAGTAACTTATCAGCACATGAAAATATGTTCAATGTGTTAGTCATTCAGATAATGTAAATTAAAACTACAATGACATACCACTCCATATCAGATGAGATGCCTATAATCAAAAAAAGTGAACACTAACAAGAACAATGAGAATGTAGAGAAATTGGAACCCTCCTTCATTGCTGCTGGGAATGCAAAATGGTACAGTCCCTTTGGAAGGCAGTTTGGTAATGACTCAAAAAGTTATAAATACATTGAACATTTCCAACACAAAGAAATAATAAATGTTTCAGATTATGGATATGCTAATTATGCTGATCGGGTCACTATAAAATATATATATGGAAACATCACTATGTACCCCATGAATGTGTGTAATTATTGTCAATTTTTAAAAATAAAAATTTAAAAGAAGCTATACATAGAGTTCATACATAGCAAATCCACTGCTAAGTATAGAACCAAAAGAAATAAAAATGTGTCCAAGCATAAACTTGTCCATGAATGTTCATGGGAGCACCATTTGTAATAGCCAAAAAGTAGAAACAACCCAACTGTTCACCAATTGATAAATAAATAAACAAAAGAGTAATTTTAAAAAACAGATAAGTAATTACCAGGGTCTGGGTCAGGAGGTTGAGGGAGGGTGTGTAATGTGGAGTTTATACCAATGAAACTGTTCTGGAATTAAATTGTGGTGATTATTTCAAACTTTGTGACTATACCAAACACCACTGAATTGTAAACATATATCAGAATCTCACATTGTGCACCACAGATCTATACAATTATTGTTTGTCAATTAAAAATAAATTTTAAAAAAGATAAAAATGTTAAACCATTGCATTACATACTTTCAGTGGCTGAATTTTATGGTATGTGAATTTTATCTTAATTAAAATGAAAGGTTCAGCTGGTGTTAAACATACCAGCTGTAACTTTGCAATTGTTTTAAAATTTGAAAAAAGAAACACAACTGAGGGCCGGGCGCGGTGGCTCACGCCTGTAAACCCAGCACTTTGGGAGGCCGAGGCAGGTGGATCACGAGGTCAGGAGATCGAGACCATCCCGGCTAAAACGGTGAAACCCCGTCTCTACTAAAAATACAAAAAAAAAATTAGCCGGGCGTAGTGGCAGGCGCCTGTAGTCCCAGCTACTTCGGAGGCTGAGGCAGGAGAATGGCGTGAACCCGGGAGGCGGAGCTTGCAGTGAGCCGAGATCCCGCCACTGCACTCCAGCCTGGGAGACAGAGCGAGACTCTGTCTCAAAAAAAAAAAAAAAAAAAAAAAAAAAAGAAACACAACTGAGAAGAGAAGATAAAGGATGCTGAGTAACAGAGATTTTTAAAAAGAGCAGCAAGTGATTGCAGATAAAGAAAGAGGGCTAAAATTTAAAGATGAATAAATTTGTTGTAAAAAATCAGAAACTTTTTCTGAAAATGGACACATCTAAATCAGGCGTGATTGCATGAGTGTATACATATATGTATAAATGGTAGAACTATGCCCCTAATATTTATGCATTTTACTGTATATAAATTATGCCTCTACATAACAAGCTATATTTTACAAGATGCATATGCACACATGCACACAGGAGCACATGTACACATGCACACACTCGTGCACTGAATAAAAGCTTCATGAAACAGAATTATTCTTCCATCCTGGGATACAGTCTAATGTCGGGAGAACCAGCCCCCAATATTTCAACGTAGGTTCTTTCTATTTTCCCTAAGTGTCGGCCAGTCTGAGAAACAAACAGAAAGAATACAAAGAGAGGATTTTACAGGTGGGCCTCCAGGGGTGACATCACATATTGGTAGGACCGTGATGCCGACCCTGAGCTGCAAAACCAGCAAGTTTTTATTAGGGATTTTAAAAGGGGAGGGGGTGTACAAAGAGGGAGTAGGTCACAAGGATCACATGCTTCAGAGGACAATAAGATCACAAGGAAAAGGCAAAATTAGAATTACTGATGAGGGTCTATGTCCCACTGTGCATGTATTGTCTTGATAAACATCTTCACAGGAAACAGGGTTCAAGAGCAGAGAACCAGTCTGACTAGAATTTACCAGGCTGGAATTTCCCAATCCTAGTAAGTATGATGGTACTGCAGGAGACCAGGGCGTATTTCAGTCCTATCTCAACCACATAAGACAGACACTCCCAGAGCGGCTGTCTATAGACCTCGCCCCAGGAATGCATTCCTTCCCCAGGATTATTCCTTGCTGGGAAAAGAATTCAGCCATATCTCTCCTACTCGCACATCCATTTGTAGGCTTTCTGCAAGAAGAAAAATATGGCTCTATTCTGCCCGACCCCGCAGGCAGTCCGACCTTATGGTTATCTTCCCTTGTTCCCTGAAAATCACTGTTATTCTATTCTTTTTCAGGGTGCACTAATTTCATATTGTTCAAACACACGTTTCACAATCAGATTTCATATTGTTCAAACATACATGTTTTACAATCAGTTTGTACAATAGTGGTCCTGAGGTGATGTACATTCTCAGGTTACGAAGATAACGTGACTAATAGATTAAAGAAAGGCATAAGAAATTATGAGTATTGTTAGGGAAGTGATAAATGTCCATGAAATGTTCACCATTTATGTTCAGAGATTGCAGTAAAGACAGGCGTAAGAAATTATAAAAGTATGAATTTTGGGAACTGATAAATGTCCATGAAATCTTCACAATTTATGTTCTTCTGCCTCGGCTCCAGCCAGTCCCTCTACTCGGGGTCCCTGACTTCCCGCAACAGTCTTATCTATTCTAATCTTGCCTGTTGATATATATATATATATATTAAAAAAAACAGAGGCATTGAACTCTTTAATTAATGTGAAAACAGTGCTCTGGAGTCTTTCTCTTCTCTCTCAAAGAGTCAGAGTTTTATGAAAAAAATGCATGCATATATTTCCCATATTTATTGTATGTATATCCCAATGAATTGTAATACATTACTGTCTCACCTTAACAAAAGGTTAAATTTCCACTTTTAATATGATATTTTCTTAATATTCTTGCCTCCCCACATCCTTTCATGAATCATTTTGATTAACAAAAGAAAGTGGATAGAATTCTTTTCCCAACAACTTATCCTGCACTTTTTAAAAGTGTAGTCGTATTTTGAAATAATCACCATGGCTTCCAAAAGTTTCACCTTGGGAGTTATAACCATCGATCATTTTTACTGCTTGAGGCCAAGGGCTGCTTCTTAGTGCTTTACGCACAAAGCACAGTCTTCTTTATCTTCACCAAGGTAGACTCAGGGTTAAAATGAAGGTGCATTTAGCAGTGGTTCACTGCTGACACTGGCCAGCTTGGGGTGCAGTTCATCAGGGCAGTTCACCTGTTATGTGGATTGAAATCAGCAGGGAGAGAACACAAAGGGGAACCTGGATGCCTTTGCTATACGCTGAGCTCAAAAGTCCAAGCAGTTCCACATTCTCTGATTAAATGGCCCTCCTTCGACTTCTGACCATACTTTAACCTGCCGGAGCTCCCAGAAAAAGGCTCACCTCCACATTCTACAGTAGCCCTTTTTGTATTTGGCCAACACATTATTCCATCCTTAGGACTTCAGGCTTCTGCCAATACCTAGGACCCCCCATCCTGTGTTGAGCAACTTTCATTCTGAATCCAGGAATGGAACTGCATTTATTGCTGCAAAGTGTCATCTTGTTAAATTTGACTCACCGTTGTTGCCTGTACATAAGTTTGGGAATCTGAATCTGTCAATATTTCTTCCTCATGGTTTCACATCCTCAAGGATCTAATATGCACAGCATCTACCAATCTGAGGGATCCTTGAGAACAGAAATGAGGTCTTACTTGGCTTTGATCGCTAAGACCAAAAATGCAAGACCTGGGCTTCCACTCTTTCGGTCAGCTGTCATTGCAGTATTACTTTTTTAGATACAAGTTGTACGCACACCTTTTCCTCATTGCTGTTTTGTTCCAGGAACAAGTATATATCTCTAGTGGCAAAATCAGACCACATTTACATTTTAAAATAATTTCTAATTATTAAATAGTTAAAATACACAGAAAGTACAGCCAATAATTTAGTAAACCTCCTATACTTCTTACTCACTTCACAAAATATTGTCATATTTGCTTAGAAATGTTTTTAAAGATTAAAACCTAGTAAATGCTATTAATGCCTCCTTTCTTGGGTTTCTTCAGTCCCATTCTCTTTCTTTATTTCCCAGAGGTGAAGAAAGGAAATTATCCCACAGTTAGCATTTATTATGTATATACATTTCCTTATAGTTTATATCACAAGTATATATAATATATACATACTTATCTCTATCCCCAACAATCTATGGCATCCTATATAACATAGAGTTTTGCAACTAACTTTCTTCATGTAATATCATATTTTCCTAGCAGTTGCTTCTATTTTAAACACGTAGCTCGGGCTCACTTGTACTCTTTGCCACATGATGTTCAATTTCATAAATAGGTCACAATTCTATCTACTTAATCCTTTGTCCATTGATTTTTTTGTTTTACTGTCGTTTTATTTCTATATTTGTTTTATTATTTTGGCTTTTGTTTGCATACACAATTGTTTTTGCTTTTATAAACACATTGCTACAAATAATCTTTGACCTGTTTATGAACATGAGACTTCCTCAAAGATATTATCAAGGAATGGAACTTTTGGGTTCTGAAGCATGTACCCACAGGCCCTATTCAAATGTTAGTCATAATTTTTTCTACTCTAGTTCTTAGTTCTGCTCCTCAGGCCACTGTTCGTTGTGCTGATAACTGCCTACACCTCTGAACTGCCTTCCTTCAAGCAGCCTCTTCCCTCCCCTCTGTAACTTTATCTAAAAGATGGAAGAATGCCTTCCCTTAATTTTACACACAATAAGAAAAATCAGGATCTGTCTTCTACCAAGGCTTTCCTATTGGCTTGGGAATAATTCAGACAGAGTAACTTAAAACTGCTAATATAAATTCATAGGTCCTGACCCAGACCACTATCAGGAAATCCCAGAAAGGATGTTCAATATTTAGTCACCATTTTTCATCATATGCTGAGACCAGCCTACCCCCTTCCAAAGGAAGCTTCCTTAAACTGATCCACCATACCCAGAGTTCAGCTCCAACAGTCACGAAACTCAAAGAGAAGAAAGAGCATTACGCTGTTTCCCCAGTCTAAGGGCTACTTCCAAGTAACAATTCCCTGTCCTGGGATTAACCACTTTCTAGGACAACTGCATGTGGATGAGTAACATCTTGTCCTCTGACCCCAGCAAGACAATAAATATAAGAAATCTCTAATTAATCATTAGTTTAGTTATCAATGTCTGGGCTATTTTGACTGAAATAATACTTGGCTATTATTAGCTCATATCAAATCAAATGTAGTCAATCCCAGTAGAATCCCAGTAGAATCCAAGCCTTTCAGCTGGAGGGAGATGAAGATCACCATGGTTACAAAACATTGAAAGCCTTCACTCATTTTCTTCAGTGGATAAAAGTTGTAATGAAAATACAAACACTGATGTAAGGAAAATCAATAGCATACAAGCACAATCAAGTCTTCGTAACTAGAAGCAAAGTAATGCTAGCTTCCAGTACAGTTTAGCTGGCATTAGACATCCTCCCACCATCAACAAGAGTAAAACCTAAACAAAATGGAGGAAACAACTGCTTCCTCAAGACAAGGCCTGTCAAGACGGCTGCAACACCTGAAAAACAGGAGACGTGAGGCTTGCCCACATTCAGTCTTCCTCTGTGGGTGTGCTTTCTAGGCTATGGCTCAGAGAGGTCTCACTGGTTGGAGAAGACAGAGTTTAGTTTGGGGCTACTAAAGCAGCAAAGATTCGGGGATAGGATTCCAAACAAGGAAGAACTGGAGAGAAAACAAAAAACAAGAAACAAACAAAAAATACCTCAGAAGGCTGCTGGCATTTCCTCTTTGTCTTTGAGCTTCAGAAACTTAAAATACTAGTGATTACTTAAAGAGACATTAATATTCACATGCCTTTAGGGTTTATAGTAGATGTAGAAGTGAAATGTATGAAACTATAGCAATAAAAAATTTTAAAAGGAAGATGGAGTTAAGTGTTTTAAGAATTTGCATTGGTTGGGATGTGCTGAAAATATACTTTTAAGATACTTGTAAGTTAAACTTGTATGTTATGCTTTCTTGATTAACCACTAACAGAATGATAGCCCCCAAAAAGAATTCTACATAGTCAATAGATGAGATAAATGTATATCAATAAAACACTGATTAAAACGAAAGAAGCGAAAAGGCAACATAAAAGAACAATGAGCAAACATAAAAAATAAAAAACAAATAACAAAGCGGTAGACTTAAATCCACCATATTATTTATTATACTAAATGTAAACAGACTAAGTGCAAATTTAAGACAGACATGGTTGGATTAAACAAAAAACTAAGATGCCACCATGTATTTATAGGAGACACATTTAAAACATAAGGACACAGAGCAAATGACAGTTTAAAATGGAGAAAAACGGACACAGAATATGAAAATAAAACAAGACAGTGTATTGCGATAATAATAATTCAGAAAAAAATAGACATCATGGCAAGTAACATAAAATGAGGTGAAGAGAAACACTGCTTAATAACAGAAAGGTTAATGCATTAGGAAGCAACAATAATCCTAAAAAAATATGTCTTTCATGACCTCATTTCAAAATAGATGAAGGAAAAATTGATCAAAAGAATTGAGAAATACACCATAATAGCTGGAGATTTTAACACATTTTTTCAGTAATAATAGAAGAAGCATATTAAAAAACAATTAATAATGAAACAGAAAATGAGAACATTATTGACCAAGTTGGCCTAGCTGACATTTATAGAATTCTCAACCTATATATTGCTTATGAAGCTTTTACCAGAAGAGACTATACATATTCGGTCATCAAACAAGTTTTAATAAATTCCAATGGATTATAATCATACAGTTTATGTTTCCTTGCCACGGTGGAATTGAATTAGAAACAATAACAAAAAGATAACTAAAAATCCCCAAATGTATGGAAGTTAAACAGCACACTTTTATTTTTTTATTTTTGAGATAGGGGTCTAACTCTGTCACCCAGGCTGGAGTGCAGTGGCACAATCATAGCTCACTGCTGCAGTCTCATCCTCCCAGGTTCAAGCAATCCTCCCACCTCAACCCTCCCAAGTACCTGTGACCACACAGGTGCACATCACCACGCCTGGGCATTTTTCTGTTTTTTTGTAGAGATGGGATCTGACTATTTTGCCCAGACTGGTCTTGAACTCTTGGGTTTAAGCAATCCTCCTGCATAAGCCTTCCAAAGTTCTAGAATTATGGTGTGAGCCACTATGCTTAGCCACCACACTTTTAAACAACTTACAAGTTGTAGAAAAATTCACAATTGAAATTGCAATGATTATTAAAATGAAACATAAAGTATGTGAAATGCAGATAAAGCATGGATGAGAAGGAAATTTATAGCACTAAAGGCATAGTTTAGAAAGAAAGAAATATAAAATACATGATCTAAAATTCCAGCTCAGAAGATAGAAGAGTTGGAAACAATAGTAAAAAAAAATAAGATGAGAAAATCAACAATACCAGAAGTTAGTTCTTCAAATAACTAATAAACCTCTAAGATGCTAGTCAAGAAAATAAAATTACTAGCATGAAGTATGTAAAAGAGAACATCACTAATATTCTACTTACATGAAATAGAGCATGAGAGGATATAATTTTAAATAGTCTGCCTACCAATATAAGGACTTAAATTCTTTAAATTCTTTGAAGAACATAACTTAGAACACAAAATAGAAAATTTTGATAGTTTTATATCTGTTAAATAAATTGAATCTATATGTCTTAGTTTGTTCAACTGCTATAACAAAAATACCATAGACTAGGTGGCTTAGTAACAACAGAAATCTCTCTCTTAGTTCCAAAGCTGGATAGTCTAAGATGAAAGAACTAGCAGATTCTGTGCCAAGGGGGGGCCTCTGGCCTGGCTCATACACCACCTTGCTACAGCCTCACATGGTGAAAGGAGCGAGGGATCATTCTGACCCCTCTTTTACAAGGATGCCAATCCCATTCACCAGGGCTCCATCCTCATGAGCTAAACGGCTTCCAAAGGCCCCATCTCCTAATACAATCACTTTGGGGTGATGAATTTCGGGGTTGGGGGACATAGAAACATGCAGTCTATTACATCATACATAAATTTTTTTCTGCTTTTTGTTTGTTTTTAAAGAGAAGATCTCACTCTGTCACCCAGGCTGGAAGGCAGTGGCAAGAAGATCATGGCACACTACAGCCTCAAACTCCTGAGCTCAAGAGATCTTTCCCACCTCAGCGTCCCAAGTAGCTGGGACTATAGGTGTGTACCGTGCCCTGCTAATTGTTTTAATTTCTGTAGAGAAGAGGTCTCATTAAGTTGACTAGGCTTGTCTTGAACCCTTAGTCTCAAGTGATTTTCCCTTCTTAGTCTCTTGAGGCACTGGGATTACAGGAGTGAGCCACCAACCCCAGCTTGTAAAATTCTTTTCACAAATGAAATTTCAGAACCAAAATGCTTAACTGGGCGATACTAAAAAAAATTAATTAAAAATAATAAGAAACATAGACAAATTCCTTTAGGAGATAGAAAATGTGAGAAGTCATTTCAAAGATAACCATAATATCAAAACCTCACAAAAGAATTACAAAATGGAAAATTATATATCAACAGCCTCATGAACATAAAATATAAAATCCCCCAAATATAGAACAGACAATCAGGGAAGACACACCATACACACACATACACACACATACACACCCCATAATCAAATGAGATTTAGTCCAGGAAGGTGGCAAGTTTAGTTTTACATTTGAAAATCAAATCAATTTAATTGATCATATCAACAATATGTAGGATAAAAAACATAAATTACCTCAATAAATACAGAAAATAAGCATTTGAAAAATTCAACACCCATTTATAATAAACATATCATCAAAAAGAAGTATAAGAAAACTCCCCCAATCTAATACAATACACTTTCAGAAAATAAAATAAAATGCTAATACCTTAATATTGAAACAGTGGGCTGGAAAGGATGCTATTATCCCCACCCCTACTCAACACAGTCGTATTGACTGTAACCAGCGCAATCAGACAAGAAAAAATGAAAAGGACAAAAATGGAAAAGGAAGAAGTAAAACTCTGTTTACAGACAGTATGATTATACATAGATTATAAGCCAGTATCTTCATAAATGGAATCTCAAAAATCCATCAAAAATTATTAAAGATAATCTAGCGACATATTTTTCAAATAACACACCTTGATGAAGCAAAATTTATTTAACATGGCAAAATTTTAAAAAAGGATTTATAAAAATTATTTGAATTAATAGGTGATTTTAGGGAAATTAATCCATGCAAAGTCAATATACAAATATAAATTACATTTTTCTAAAATAACAACACACAATACAAAATGAAGCTTAAAAAGCAATAGCTTTGATAAAAGCATTACATATATCTAATACCTACTGAAAAAATCCAAGGCAAGATGTGAAACATCTCTATACAAAAAATATAATACAGTGCTGAGAAAAATTTTCGAAGCACAAATAAGAGGAGAGATAGTCTCTGTTTGTGGATTAAAAACTCAATGTTTTAAGATGTAAATTCTGCCCAAGTTGACCGAAACCTGCAATGTAATTCCAAACAGATTTCCAGCAGATTTTTTCCGTAAGGGTTAATAAGATTTGATGCTAAAATTCACATGGAAATGCAAAGAATGTGGAATGACCAAGAAAATCTTGAACTAGAAACACAATATCAGAAAACATGCACCACTAGAGCTAATGATTTACTAAAAACTATTCTAATAAAGACAATGTGACATTGGTAGAAAAGGTACATAAGCAGGCCAATGGAAAAAATAGAATAAAGAAATAGACACACGTGTATTGTCACTTGATTTATGACAAGAGCACCATACAATTCCATGGAGAGAGACTGGCCTTTTCTGTAAATGGCGCTCTAGAAACTGAATGGTCTTTCTAAAATAAGAAGTGAACCTGGATTCCTACCCAATACATATTTTAAAAATAATTAGAGGTGAATCATTATCTAAATATGAAGTTGACATGTGCAGACTTCTAGAGGAAAGCTTCAGAGAATATCTTCATGAACTTGGGGTGAATAGAGTGTTCTTGAAGAATATAAAAGTGCATTAGCCATCAAAGGAAAAAAATGACAAGACTTCATTAAAATTAAGAATTTCTGTTCATCAAAAGATGCCATTAGGATAAATGATAGGCAACACAATGGAGAAAATGTCATAATTCTTATATTTGAGAAGGAATACATATCTAGAACACATAAATATCACCTACCAATGAAAACAAAAAAGATAATTCACTTTTTAAATTGCCAAAACATTGGACAGTTGCTTCATAAAAGAAGATATCCATATAACCAACTCACATAAAAAGGTGCTTGGCAGGTAAATGCAAATTAAAAACAGAGGGAGCTATTAAAGCAAATGCACCAGAATGCCTAAAAAGACCAAAAAGATCAAGTGTTGGCAAGGTTGTTGGCAACTGGGACTCTCAGACATTGCTGGCAGGAGTGTAAATTGATTGAAGAACTTTGAGAAACTGCTTGGCAGGCTCTACAAAGGTGAACCGTATGTCCACGTAAGGACCCAGCAATTCCACCTTAGGGATACAGGCTAGAAAAATGAGTGTATATGAACACTGAAAGACGTACACAAGAATGCTCCTAGTGGCTTTATTCAGGCACAAAAGAATGCCTTCTTAAAATACATGACGTTTGGAACAGGCAAAACTGTTCCAGGGTGATAGAAATAAGCAATTAACATTGAGAGTGATGGAAATGCTTCTTAACATAATCTGGTGTGTGTGTGTGTGTGTTTGCGTGTGTGTGTGTGTTTGTGTCTGTGTGAATTCATAGAACTATACACTCAATATTTGTACATATTTTGTATTTTAATTATATCTCAATGTTAAAATAAGAAACAAAGTGTTTCCTCCTCCATTAATGTATTTGTAAAATCTTCAGTCCTTTCTGCCTATTCCACATACAATTCTTGTCCTAATTATGGTTCCTATGAATTACTGGTGCATTTCTTCCATTGTTATTGTTTCTTTTATTTTAGTGGTAGTTGTTTCTTTGTTTCAGCATCCTAACAATGATCTCCATATCATTTACTTTTACTTTTTTGGTCATTTTTCTTCACCATTCCTTTTCAATTATAAGACCTTTGGATTAGATATGCATCTCTCTTATAAACACATTCTTTATAGTTCTCCTAAGCTTAAAACCATCATTCCAAGGTCCTAAAATCTGACTCACAAAATGAAATGTGAATTCCCATCATTTCCTAGAGTTTGAATGCACGTGAGTTGAAATACTAGAATCTGCACTTTCAGACACCAGACACAGATCTCCAAACCCAAAAACATGAAAAAAATGGGGGACGTTACTCAAATGATCTGGAGTAGGAAAAGACTGAAGTAATCACAAATTAATTAATCTCTTCTATGTAAATATACTCTTAAATACATATTGCCTCTGATGCAGCAGAGAGCAGGAACTTTCTCTGGGCAAGCACAGAATACTTCACTGATATTCCTATTAGTAATATCCCAGGCATGCTGTTGTAAAGTGCCCAAAAAAAAAAAAAATACAAAACTTACATGATGGTTACCTGAAAATCTTGTCTTTCAAGTGCACATGTAAACTAAAATAACCTACCAAGACATTTCTCAGTTTGACTGAGGGGGGAAAAACAGCATTCTTCCCAAGTCCTTTGAAATTGTGGCTCAAAGCCAACACCTCAAACTGAGCCTAATGTTACAAAAATCTATAAGCCATTAACTCTAGCCGTATTAAATATATAAAAATCAATTCTAATGCCCTGTTCTTCCAAAGTCCCAACCCTCAATTGGAAATATATAAGAAAATACTGCCTGCTCCCCAGTTGCCCTTCAGCTTTTTATCTGATTTATTCTGGAAGCATCAGTTGTGCCCACCTGTATCAGGAAAATAGAAAAATAAGAAAGCAGTCAGCAAGTCTGAGGGTCCTTGGTACCCCCACTGGCCAGCTCTTCATCCAGAAGGCAAGCCCAGCTCTCGGTGGTCACACCATAGCCCTGGATCCACAGCCCTGGGGGAAATCACCTGCTGTCCTGGGTATTTCTTTCCACTGGTTCAATAATAGACTCTGATACTTTATCTAGTTCTTATGTTCCTGTTTATCATCTATGAAATGGAGGATGTTTACCTTCCTTTGGAAGTTCCTGATTAACCAACATTAAGAACAGCATAGTCGAAGGAAACTTTCTTACCTCCTCTTTTAATAGGTATCTGCTTCTGCCTGGCAGATTTTTTTTATTCCAGTATTAATGTGCTACCATATCCTCAACTGTATACTTTTGTTGCTGGTTCTTTCTGTTTCTAGTTCTTATTCTATTTATAAAAACTGGAATACAAAATCCTCCAGTGCTTTCTTGGTCTACTTTTCTGTTTAGAAATTTAAATTTCTAAACAAATAGCAATTTAGCCACATCTTGTAATGTTTAATGTGCACAGCTTTTATCATCATTAGGTTACAGGTATTTTCTAATTACATACATGGTATTTTTTACCATAAATGAATGAGAACGTGGTAGTTTTGTTTGTGTGTGTCTCGCAAACTATGAGATCTTTTGAATCTGTTCGTAAATTGTTTCTATAATCCATTTTGGTTCCAGAACGTGTTCTTTCAGTATTGATTCTTGGAGTTTATCGGGTCTTCATTGCGACTTAGTAGATATTCGATCTTTGTAAATGTCCTTTGTGTTGTGAAATTGTTTGTGCAGTCATCGTTTGTGCAAGGATTGTGGTTTTTCAGAAGCAATATAGGAAAATGATTAAGACACAGACTCTAAATCATAACTCCCACATTCACCAGCTCTGTGATCTTGGACTAATTACTTTAACCTCTCTGAGATTCCATTAGCATATCGGTTAAATGCCTAGTGAATATTAGATGTTATATAAGTATTAGCTATTATAATACAAATCCATGGAATCTAGCTAATTGAATCATTCAAATATTATTTATTCTTATTAAGATTTTTTGTTTTACTCACCAATTACTGAGAAAAGAGATTTAAAATCACTCTTTATGATATTACATTGGTCTTGCTTCTCCTAAAAGCAAGCTCCAAGACAAAGATTTAGGTAGGAGTGGCTTCTTTGGGAGATGATCCCAGGGAACTTTATGAGGAAGTAAAGAAGTAGGCTAGATAAGGGAAGACAACCCACTAATCTGTATTAACTAATAAAGTCACATTAATTAATATTGCCATGTGGCTTAATTCCACTGAGAACTGAATGATGACTCCTGAGATATTAATGCCCTAGTATTTGAAACTGGTGAATGTTACCTTAGATAGCAAAAAAAAAAAAATTTTGCAGATGTGAAATTAAGGATTTTGAGAGGAGACTATCCTGCATTATTCAGGTGGGGCCAATGTATTCTTCAGAGGCGAAAAGCAAAGCGTGGTTTGATACAGACAGAAGGGAAGAGACAGAGTCACAGTGAAAGCAGTGAGCCTTGATCGTGCTATTGCACTCTAGCCTGGGTGACAGAGAGAGACCCTAACTCAAAAAAAAAAAAAAAAAAAAAGGCTTAAAAATTTTTGAAGCAAAAATCCCCCATCAGAGAAATCAACTATTTCTTTGTGAGGCCTCTAGTCCCAGGAAATAAAGGGGAAAAAATCACAAACATGACTGAGAAAATTGTAGCCAAGAAAGATCCTTAAGTTTATACACAAAGTCAAATCCACTGTGTCTGGACTAAGCCAAACATCAGTTGGTAGAGGGAACAATTCAAAAACAGAAAATAAAATAGAATTCTGTACTTTAAGAATAGTTTAACAAGACAACTTAAGATAGTTTAAAGCACACAGTAAAGCTGTTTTAGTTGATCTACTCTCAAGGTATAAAATGCTATTTTATAATTAGCTAAAATTCAATATTTTGCCTTTTTTAAACTTTACCACATTTTTCCTAAGGGCAAATCTTTTATTAAATTATTATTTATGGCCAAGTGCAGTGGCTCACGCCTGTAATTCCAGCACTTTGGGAGGCCAAGGTGGGTGAAACACCTGAGGTCAGGAGTTCGAGACCAGCCTGGCCAACATGGTGAAACCCCATCTCTACTAGAAATACAAAAATTCACCAGGTGTGGTGATGTGTGCCTGTAGTCCCAGCTACTCGGGAGGCTGAGGCACGAGAATTGCTTGAACCTGGGGGGAGGAGTCTGCAGTGAGCCAAGATAGTGCCACTGCACTCCAGCCTGGGTGACAGAGCGAGACTCTATCTCAAAAAAAAAAAACCTTATTTTCATTAGAGACTACTCAGCGATAGCTGTGTTCTTTCATAAGACAAAATAATTATCAGCTGAGAACATTATGTATGTGAAAGCTGGAGGGTATTTGTGTTCCCTCATAATTCATATGTTGCTACCATATCTCCAGTGTGAGGGTATTTGACAGTGGGGCCTTTGGAACATGATTAGGTCATAATGGTGCAGCCCTCCCAAATAGTATTAGTGCCCTTATCAAAAAACACCCCAGAGTGCCCCCTCACCCCTTTTGCCATGTGAGGACATAGAGAAAAGATGACCAACTCTGAACTAGAGAGTAGGTCCTCACCAGACACAAAATCTGTTAGCACCTCGAACTTGGACTTCCAGCCTCTAGAACTGTGAGAAATAGATTTCATTTGTTTATAAGCCCCCCAGTTTTGTTATTAAAACCCAAACTGATTAAGACAGATTGTGAAGACAGACTGCCTGGGTTTGAATTTACCATTGAACCATTTTGCGACAGTGAACCAATGATTTAAATTCAATCACCCTCAGTTTCTTCATCTATACAATACAGATCATAATAGGACTGCATGCATAGGATCGTTGTGAGGATTCAACAAGGTAATTAGTGTATAAAGTTTAACACAGCTCCTGGCACAGACTTTACTAAGTGCATTCTATTTTTATTCAGTTTATTTATTTTACACATTTCAGGAGCCAATGGTCTAACAGCAAAGCAAGAGTTTAACTCATATAAAGCAGGAAGTGGTAAGAGCTGTAAAGGTATTATAGACAATTTGCAATGGGAATTTGATGGACAAAGAAATGTTCTCCTCTGGATGAGACAAGAAGAAAACCTAGGAAGATGAATGAAGAAGTGGCATTTAAGATGGACTTTGAAGGACAGGTTGGATCGGAAGTGGCAGGAAAATCACCAGCAAGGGTCTGGGCACCTGTGTCATCCATGGCTCAGTGGGAAGATGGAATTGACTTGCACATGATACTAACAGCTGGAGTTGGAAAGGCCCACCACAGAGATAATGTGAAGCCCAAGCCATATAGATGGTGCTATGTACATTCATATTACCAACACTACACATTTGCATAAACCTGAATACTTTTCATTTCCTTATCACCATGGATAAATTACCCACCTATTGTTGACTGGAATTATAATAATGACTTATCCTTAGCATATTCACATATTCCAGGCATCTCAGTTTACTTTATTAACGTCCATAACACCCTTGTCAGGCAGACTGGACAAGGTGGACAAGCACCATCCCCCTCTAAGACAAAGTCAACTGAGGCCCAAGATGGATGCCCAAGGTCAACTCTCCAGAAGACCACAAGTCGACTACTTCTGACACCTTGTCAACTGTGCCAAGCAATGCCACAGTCCTGTCTCTAGGAGCTGAGCCTCAGTCTCCCTAACTGAGTTACTATGAACTCAAGCCAAAATTCTCCCAAAGAGTCAAATGCGTGGCTTGCACTCTGAGAAAAGTAACACAAATGTGACAGAATTCACTCCAACGTGCTGGGAGATGTTACATCTGAAACCACGGGTTCTCCCAAGGTCTTTATTGGCATTAACGAGATTTGAAAATAAGAAATAGCTGTTTAGCAGGTTTTGTGTGGAGATAACACGAGCCAAGTAAAAATAAAAAATTAAGTAAAGGTTCCATTTTTCCTTCCTGGACAAAACCTTAGAATTAGTCTGCACTTACTTTGTTCTAATAACATAAAATCTTGTTTGTTCTAATACAGATACACAGAAAGTTAAATGGAAAATTATAAATAAACTTTCAAGTTGTTCATCTAAGTTATGAGATAAAAGAATGTGGCTACATCCAGTGTCTTCAAGCTAAAAATGATATGCAAATTACAGTACTTTTTGGAGCACTAAACCCAAAGCAGTTATAAAGATAAACAGTGTTAAAGCTAAAGTCCACACTGCAGGCAAACTCAAAGGATCATCTCAAAGCCAGAGCGTGTAAACCCTGAACCTCAGCCAGCTTTAGCCCCTTACCCGTAAGTAACATCTAACCCCTATAAGGTTTAAAAATACATACAATAAAAATGTCTGAGGCTATAGGTATTGCTATGGTTCATATTGTTTGGGATGTAAATAGTCCTTGCCGATATTAATGAAGGAGTACTCAGTGACCTATCTGAGAAGGTACTGTCACTCACCTTCATTAAGCCACAGATTTCTCCTTCATTCCTGGTGTTGACATCAGTTTTGTCTTGACCTGCGCACAAACCTGAGCCACGTTGCCCAGGAGGTGGAAGTCAGCTTTTCAACTTTAGGTGCATCATCTGTCAAAGAAAAACATAGTTTTTTGTGTTTTTTTGTTTTTTTGTCCCCCACCCCAGCTAGAAGCTAAGTGACTCATTCAGGGATCTCCGCCTCGTTAGCACTGTGATTCAGCCAAGGGAGCAGAACGTCTCTGACCATATGTTCACAGGCTGCAAACAAAAAGCAGAGAAATTTCTGGAACTCCTCTGTTCTCATTTATTGCTTTCAGCTTGGGCTTTAAACCACTCAAGAGATGGGTTCTTGTCAATATTTTCATTACTCAGGCAAAGGCATTGGCCCAATCTCTCTTTTTGACAAGATAGGAAAGTGCTGTCGGTGTTGTCCATGTCCTCCTCTCCTCCCGTTTTAGCTTAAGTCTGGGAGAGATATCAAGGGCTGCCTTACATATGGAGAGTTTGTAGTGGACCAAACTGGCAGGCACCCTTGCAGTATCTGTGTCATTCGCACATCTTCTGTAATCTCCTCCCTTTTGTCCATATGGGACAGGGACTGTGGAACTATGGGCATTTATTGAGTGCTGACTGTATTCCTGGCCCTGTGCTGGGGGGGTTAAATTATTGTGTTTCATCTTCAGTTAATGATCTGTACATTATTTCTACTTTCCCAATAAGAAAGCAGTCTCAGAGTATTGCCAAAAGCCACACTTAGTAAGTTTCAAGGGTGGCATTTGAAAGTAGTTATTTCTAACTCCATGAATGATGAAAGTGAAAGACAAAAAATTAGAACACAGGCTTTTAGGGTCTTCTCAGGGAGGCATATTGGCTCCAACCACTGAGTTACATTTCACTGGAGCCCTGGGAAGCTAAAAGAGCCAGGGTGGGTCCAAGAGGGAGCTTGAAGCTAGAAATTCTATCTGGCACTAAACTCTAAAATCTAGAAATGTGAACTAAAGCCCTTTAGCATTCTACCCAGATTCTTCCATTTAGTTTATCAGATCATAACATCAGAGAAGAATATCAAAGATGGTATGTCATAGGACAATAAGCATGTGTTTGGTGGGAGGGTCCCTATATAGCAACTTTGGAAAATTGGGCATATCTGAGCGAGACAGATGATGATATTGAGAGAGAGAAAAATAAATGTAAACATTCAAGATAGTCTTACTTGGACCTAAGAACCTTCCCAATACATAGAATTTCCATTTCCAATTATACAGAACAATGTACAGCAAGTGAAAGCTATAGCTTAGAACAAGTAGAAAGAAGAGTTGGGAGAGTTACAACAGAAAGTGTGGTGTTAAAGGCATCAGAGAGCTTCAGAATAAACAGGGACTACAGAGGCATCAAGTCCAGAGAGGGAAGAAATGTTCAAAGGTGAGCTGAGAATTTGCAGAACATTTCCCTGAAGCCATTTGCCAAACCATTAAGAATTTGGCTTTAGTTTAGGCAGAAGCCACAGCTGGAGGCAGAAAACAAACAGTGGAGATTCTGCTGCTTACCTGGGGCTAGGATGTCAAAACTGGAGACCAGGAGTGTCAACAGAGCCAGGCTTCCCTCAAGATGTTTGCCAACTTCTGAAGCAGTGCAAAGCAGGAGGCTAGGGAGTAAGTTTGAAAACAAGGCTGTAGAGTAGTACAGAGAGGAAAAATTTTCATAGTCTCTTTGTCTTGAGGAGACAAAGCCCCTCGAGACTCACAATGGAAATGTCACCAAGGCCCTTTTCCTAGGAACACACATGAAGCTCAGGAACAATGAACATTAGCAAAGCACAACCAGCCATGTCCTTTACTGGGTCGTGGAGATCAGCCCCCACTCCCTCTACCTAGCAGAAGAAAGGAGATAAAATCATATGTATTCTCCACTGCTCTTTCATACATGATGTCTAACATTCAAAAAAAAAATCTATACGTGTGAATCGATAGAACCCTAGGGACAATAATCAAGAGAAAAATACAGAAAACAAAAGCAGACCCACAGAGATAACAATATTGGAATTGGTAGACAAGGATTTAAAAATATGTATGACTTATATGTTCAAAAACCAGAAAAAAAATACAGAAGAGACTAAAAGACGAAGATTTTGATGAAATTGTAATCTACGATATGAAGAATCAATACACATTCTATACCTGAAAAATATTTTTAATAATATTTAAAACTACAGCCTCAATGGATGGGCAAATTGGGCACAAAAGAAAATAGAAGTAGTACCAGAAGACATGAGAGATAGAACAACAACAAAACAAAATCAAATGACAGGTGAAAATAAAGGAGAACAGAAAATTTTGAGGATAAAAATAGCTCCATAAAGAATAGAGAAATGGAGGTTATGAAATTATCTAAAAATGATATGCAAAAAGTTTCCTAAACTGAATGATATGACTTTCCAAGTTGAAATTCCTGAGTACCCAGCACAAGTTAAAATTTAAAGACTCACAATAAAGCATGTCATTGTGAAGGTTTAAAATGCAGAGATAAAAGATCATGAATAGTAAAAGCTTCCAGAAAGAGAATACAAGACCACGAAAACAAGGGAAATCAAAATTCTCAACAGCAGGAAAAGGAGCAGAAAAACAGTAAAGAAACATCTTAAACCAGGGGTCCACGACCCCCAGGGGGTGTGGTGGACCCCTACCAGTCCGTGGCCTGCTAGGAACCGGGCCGCACAACAGGAGGTGATGGGGGGCAGGGTGAGCAAATATTACTGCCTGAGCTCCGCCTCCTGTCAGATCAGCAGCATCATTAGATTCTCATAGGAGCGCGGACCCTATTGTGAACTGTGCATGCGAGGGTTCTAGGTTGCACGTTCTTTATGAGAATCGAATGCCCCCCGACCCTGTCTGTGGGAAAATTGTCTTCCATGAAACCAGTCCCCGGTGCCCAAAAGTTTGGGAACCTCTGCCTTTAAATTGTTTAAATTGTATATTCAGCTAGACCTTCCATCAAGAGTAAGGGTATAACTTTTTAAATGTTGACATGCAATATTTTACCTTCCTTGCACCTTTCCCAAAGAAGTTACTTGAGCATTTGCTTCAAAAAATGAAGTAGTAAACCTGGAAAAAAGGACCTAAGAAATAAGAACCAGAATGAATTCTACAAAGAAGGCAGTCCCACAGAACACCTGCCCTAGAGGGCAACAGAAATCTCTAGGAAAGTGGTCTTTTGCATACATGCGGCCAACAAGCATATGAAAACAAGCTCAAAATTACTGATCATTAGACAAATGCAAATCAAAACCACAATGAGATACCATCTGACACCACCCAGAATGGTTATTAATAAAAAGCAAAAAAAAAAAAAAAAAAAAAAAAAAAAAAAAAAAAACCAGATGCTGATGGGGTTGTGAAGAAAGTGGAATGCTTAAACATTTGTTGGACAAATAAGTAACATTTGCATTTTGTTTGTGTTTAGAGTTACAACATCCAGGAAATTGGGAGGACTTAAGTTTCAACTAAATTATAGGTGGTTGACCTTGATGTATCTAAACAGTAACTACCATTTTTATTTATTTTTTTAGCAATGGGAACATAGGAAACTATAGCAAATTGAGGTAACAATTTACTATAGGAAAAAAAAAAGGTCAGGAGCCCATTACTTTGTTCAGCCATGAACATATGTAAAATACTGGCTGTTATTTCAAAAAAATGCAATACAGGCATATTAAAAGCACAAGAAAAGAAAAATTGTGAGAAAGATATAAAAGGGAGTTAAATTTTCATCATAGAAGGAAACCAATAAATAATGCCTAAATGAATATATTTTTAAAGCAGTATAATACTTAGAAGTAAAGACCTAATTAACTACAGAGCAAAAGTAACTGAAATCTATTATCCAGATGGGGATGAGGGAGGTATAGTGTAAACAATTGCCAGTTTTTATTATATGATTTTAATACTGTTAGCTCTTCAACTATGCCAACATCTAAACTTAATAAAAAAGAATAAGAATTGGCAGTTTGTCATGAAATAATTTTATAATGACTCTCATTTAGAATTATCAAAATAAATTTTCATTCCCAAAGAAGTAAACTTCATTGTGCAAAAAATTGTGTTCATGTAGAAGAGCTAAAATGAATTTTAATACAGATGGTGTGTAATGTGTGCATTCACACAGCATCTGAGAATTGATCTAGCTCTTGGCTCTCAATGGTAATAATGCATACCCAGCAATTTCTGGAAAATACTTACTTGCAAACCCAACGAACAATTCAAGACACAAATTATTACTAAGAAATGCTAGTTTTGTAAATTGCACCAAATAACAATCATATATTGAAGGCTTTAATATAATGATACAATGATGTTTCCACAAACTTTTATATATTTGCTCCATAAATATCATTAAGCACATACTAATTACCAGGCACTTGCAAAATACTTAGAGTACAAAGATTAAGTTAAAAACTAGGTCTTGTCCTCAGTAACACTATAAAAACTCGAATTGTCTCTGACAGTTTCCATTATCACAAAAAAACAAATATTTTCTATCTCCTTATGCTGGAATTAACTTACAACTTAACCCAAAGCCAAGCGTATTAGTCTGTTCTCACACTGGTATAAAGAAATACCCGAGACTGCATAATTTATAAAGAAATGAGGTTTAATTAGCTCACGGTTCCTTAGGCTCTATAGGAAGTAAGGCTGGGTAAGGCCTCAGGAAACTTAAATCACGGTGAAGGCCACGGGGAAGGAGGTACGTCTTCCATGGCCAGAGCAGGAGGAAGAGAGAGGAGGGGGAGGTGCTACACACTTTTAAGCAACCAGGTCTCAAAATAAGTCACTCACTCTCAGGAGAACAGCAAGGTGGAAATCTGCCCCCATGATGCACTCACTTCCCACTAGGCTCCTCTTCCAACATTGGGTATTACAGCTGGACGTGAGATTTGGGCGGGGACACAAATCCAAACCATATCACCAAGTCAACATAGATAGCTATGTTCTTCACAGTAAATCTCTTGAGGATATGTTGTGTGATGGTTGCAGTAGTACCAGTAAAATTCTCAAACAACACCAACCACCATCTAGAATTCCTAAAGGGACAATGACATGAAGTCAATAATGAAATAGCGAAGTCGCTTTGTTAAATGGAAAACAAATGGATTGCCCCAGCTGAAATAGAAAATATCAGTCCTTTTAACAACCATAAAATCACCATTGTTTCTCCACTCTGAAAACATTTGTAGGTACAGACTGAAACCAATTCCTTTCTTCTAGAGTCAGGTGACAAAAGGCCACCTAAATAACTTCTTGGTCACTGTACATGTAACTTTGTAGAAATAAGGCTATTTTCCATAAGGCACATGTGGAAATCAGTTGAATATCTCATAGTTATACACATACTTATGGTCGTCTTTCTTTAAAAAAAAGAAAGGAAAAAAGAAACAAATCTAACAATAACCTTAAAAAGTGACAATAAATTCACTCAAGTCAGTCTCTATATAACATACTATTATCAATGGTGTCCTTTCATTTTGATATAGGAAGACAAAAAGGGAGAAAAACAAACAAGTACCTTATTTCATGTCATTCAAGATAATTTTGACTTTTAATGCCTTTCTGCAAAAGAATGAATGATACGACTGGGGTAGTCCATTGGTTACAAGTCACTTTGGTGTATTACCAAGAAAAGGAAAAGACGGGTTAATAAAATCTCATTTGGGCTAGTCCTTTTTTCTCCTTTCAGGAAAATAAAGCTGAATCTTATATTTAATAATAGCTTGACCTTTAAACTTACAAAGAGAAACAACCAATGAAATCTTCCCTCATAGACTAACGAGAGTTTGTAGAAAAAAGCACAGAGCAATGCCCCAAGGAAATCATCAATGAACAAGAATCAATCTGCATCAGGACCTACTGACTTGATTCTCGAGCATTTAAGATCCCAGGATGATGAGGTTCTGAAGTAAAAAGGCTCAATTTGACTGGGGGAAAAAAAAGCCTTATTTTCTGCATCAGTTTACAATTTATTCACTTCAGGAGATAATATTGCAAAGTGGTTAAGAGCTTTTGGAATTAGACGGCCTGGGTTTGAGTCCAGATTTTGCTTTTCTGCCCTGTTAGATACCTTACTTAACCTCTCTAAAATTTAGTTTATGAGGGATAATAAAGATCTGTCACATAGATTCATATGAGAATTATATGACTATATATATATAGCTTCAATAAATGTCAGAGAATAATATGCATATTATAATTATCACCATCATTGTATAACTTATTCATATGTTCTTATATTTTAAATCTATAAGCTTGTAATTACATTTTCTTTATGTTAGCAAAGTCGTGTGCTTTCTCTTTTTTAAACAGATTTGAAAAATATCATTTATTTATTCAACAGTATTCATCTATTTTGTTGGCCCTTTCAAGGTGTGAGTTATTTTCCTGGGTGTGTTTGGTCAAAATGGAGTGAGATTAATATTTTGTTTTCTAGTTTACTAAGTTTTGCACTATATTCATTGATCTCTTCTATCTAATTTTTGTTTATTGTGTTGTATTTTGTAAATATATTTTTTAGCTGAATGCTGACTGTTTAATTGATTTACAGGAATTGCTGTATTAACACATACAAGGAATCTTTCTTACATTTTTTAGAATAAAATGTTAGAAGACATTATACCCATTTTTTCTAACTATTGTACTATTTTTCACAATGACACAGGAAAAAAAATCTCAACTCTTTCCACCCTTGGTCAGATGTCATAAACGCCCCTGGTCATAAGCAGCCCTGGTGAGACATCCTGGGCCTCTGTCACATGTAAATAATAAAAAATGTGTGTGGAGGCACAATGCAAAAAGACAGCCATTCTCAACTCAGGATGCACAATAGAATCACTTACGGTGCTTTTAGATTATAGGACACTTCAGCTCCACTCTTGTTCCAATTTGATTGGACTTGGCAAGGGGGCCTGTTATCAGAATTCTTTACATTCCCTTGTTGTTTATTTCAAATTCCATAAGGCAGGCTCTACAGGGAGGCTGAGGGTGCGTCTGAGCCACTCCTCCCTTACCTTCCTGACTGGCCTCTTGTAGGTCTACAGTTGCTACCTTCACTACCAGAACTATCCTGAGGTTCCTGTGAAAAAGTCCACCGACAGGGATGGCCTCTCTTTTCCCAATATGTGCTGCAGCTGCCTCAGTTGGTTGAGTTTTTTCCTGTTTCTTCCCCTCAGTCCAAATTCTGATTCCAGTTCTAATTCCGGGGTTAAGCATTATAGTGAATTTATTTTTAATTTCCAAAATATTAAGAATGTGGAGAAGGGGAAGTCATAAATTATTCTGTCATCTAGAATCACAATTCTAATGTTTCTAAGTTTTTTTAAGTATTAAACTTACATACTCATAAAGATATTTGCACCAAAATTTATAACCCAGAATCCTACCAAGATTATTTCCATAACTTCCAGCAAGTTATTCCTTTCAAAATTATAATGTCTATTTATTCCACTTAGATTTGTATAGATAATAGGAAAGCTGGAGCTAAGTGATATTGTTGGCATTCTACTTTGTATAGAGAAACTTTAAGTGTCTGCTCTGTCATCTTTTCCTCACCTCCTGACAAATAACTAAAAGAACAAAAGCAAGCGTACTGCAGGACGACCTCTTGAAACTTCCCATCCAGGCACTAGGTTCCCTGCCAGGTAACTTCTGAAGCTTCTTTTACCTCCCTTCTCGTGGGCCTAGGGGAACTAGTGGATCATTATTGAGTTAACATTTTGTTAATTTGTTGAATAACGATATTAAGAAGAACTACAAATAAAATTAATATGATGCATTACTATTACAATCTTGGGAGAAGTAAAAACATACTGACCATGCAGGCAAAATTGGACCATATTAAAATTAAGAAGTTCTATCAAAAGATGCCTTCAGATGAATGAAAAAATAAAGCCAACATTGGGTGAAGATATTTACAAAACATACATTTGTCAAAAGATGTATATTCATGGTTTATAAAGACTTCTACAAATCAATAGAAAAAGCAAACAATCCAATAGAAAATGGGGAAAATATGTGAATGAACAATTCACAAAATAAGATATAAATTCCCAACAAACGTAAAATAAATTGCTTAATTTTATTTGTTATCAGGAAAATGAAAATTAAAACCACGATGTGATATCACTACATACTTACCTAACTGATAAAAAGATGAACAAAATCAACTGTTGTTAAATCTCATACATTGACTGAAAGAAACATAAGGTGTTAGAATCTCTTTGGTAAGTTGTACGGCAGTATCAATGAAAGCTAAATATATATGTGTCCTGTGACCCAGCAATTATATTCCTCAGTATATAGAAATAGATACATATGTGCTCTAAAACAAGTATATGAGAGTAATCATATCAGTACTATATGTTATAATTCAAAACTGGAAATAATCCAATGTTCATCAACAATAAAATAGACAAATACATTTTGGTATATTTTCAACTTTGTGCTTTACAGAAAAAGTTTGCCAATCCCTGTTACATTGCAATAAATATGGGTAAATAACAACTATGAAAATGTATGAATGATTCTCCCAAAATATTGATGAGCGAGACAAGTCAGACATTTACTGAGCTACTAGATTTTTTTTATAAGGTTCTAATATGGGCAGGGTGAACCCATGATGTTGGAAGTCAGGAAAACAGAAATCCTGAGTGTCATCGGCATGACCACAGAGCCTGGCTTCCTCAGGGACTGGTAGCGTTTCAACTCTTGACTTCAACACAGTTTACACAGCTGTGTCCACTTTGTAAATCTCACAAAAGTGCACATTAAGAGTGTGTGTACCTTTTCACATATGTGTCACACACCATGAAAATTATTTTTTTCACCTCACTAAACGAAAATGTCCTAAGTCATTGTTGCAGTGGTCGCAGTGTTAGGAAGAGATAAAGTAGTATCTTCATAAACAAAATTAGTAAAAATAATCCTACAAAGTAAAAGCCAGATCATAACCTAAAGAATATTCACTTCCAATCCTTTCTTTTTCTTATAACTATGAGAATAAGGCCAATAAAGTTATTTGATTTTACCAAATGAATGTCCTATTTTGCATAAGAGGATAAATTAAAACTAGTATTCTGGCTTAAAAATCTAGCCCTTTTCTTACCACATACTTCTATTCTCATTAAGGTATAGAAAAATAAAATAACCTATAAATAAAAGTTATGTGACTCTTTATTTTTAGTTGTCATCTCCATAAAATAATTTTATCATAATTTACCATTTACTTTAAAGCAGCAAATACTTCAAAAAATTATTTATTTTGCCTTCGTGTCTTTTTTTTCAAATAGAAATATAGAAACAAAGATAAAAACAGGATTAGAGACGATGAAAACAACATATTAGAAAATACAATTTAAGACAATTTATTGTCTTTCCAAGCCATGAGATAGTTTCCATACCCTTACTATAATGAATAGAAATATTCCCCCTTTCATTTTTAAACTTATAACCATAATATACTGCAAATATGCAGAAAATATTGAAAATAATACAACGGGCTCTATCCTAGATTCTTAGAACCCTGGATTCCTTAGTTGTTAACATTTTAATCCATTAGCTGTTGATACTTTGATCCATATGTTTCTGATATTTTTACTGTTTATAGTTTAAAAATTGTAGATGAAGCCAATCACCCCCATGTACCTACCCATTGCATTCCCTAGCTTCCCAGAGGTACCCCAAACCTCAGTTTGACATCTATGAATGTTTACATGTATTAATTTACAGATTCTATATGTACCTATATCATCAGGAAATATTGTTTTACATGTTTTAAATTACGTACATGAATGCTCTGAATTGTAGCTTTATGTTAGGATTATTTAAAATGGAAAGTTCTAAATGACTTGCTTCAGGATAGTTTTCAAATTCTCCTAGGAAAGAAATCACCTGACTTTTATCCTCATAGTGCTTTGAGAGGTGGATTATAATTGCAATGTCCTACTCTGCCTGTCATATTTTATTTCTTAAGCTGCCTATATGTAAGTTCAGTCTTGCACCTATGTTTATAATTAATTAGATCCCAAAATAGAAATGGCAGCAGAGAATAGAACTTTGTTGTTGTTGAAAGTATCAGAAATGGTTGGAGGTTGCCTGCTATTTCCCTACACTCTATGCAACCATTTCCTGCTTACCCAAAGTCTTAATTAAAAAGTGAATTGTTTTTTATTTTATGACTTCGACAAGAAGGTCATTATTCTTTCATTGGGTAGCTCTGCAGTAAGCAGCTTTCTCTTTTAAAGCTTTGACTGATTTAGCTTCATTTTAACTCTGCTCCATTGCTGGATAGTACCTTTCTTCTGTGAGTCATTGCTGATATTCCCCCGTTTCACTTCCCATGTCCAATTCAGTCTCATTTTGTGACACCCAACTAGCTCATCCACGGCCACCCATCTGCTCTTCCATGTCCTCATCTCCACGTCCTCAGGCTGAGCTGCTGTCCGATCCCATCATGCTGCACTGATTTACCCAAATCTGCTACTGTGACCTCTAGTCTGTTCTCATTTCGGCTGCACTGAAAGAAGAAATATCAGGTTTCCAACATTCTTTCAAGCCCTGCATCACGTGGCTCTACTCACATCTCCCACCTCACTGGGACTGGTCTCTTCTCAGTCTCTTCCCTGGAAGAAAGATGTGCTCTTCCCTGGAAGAAAGATGTGCTCTTCCGGTAGCTTCAATGTTCCACACGCCTCCACCCCTCCCCACAGCCTCGCATAACCCACGCCCTCAGCCCAAGACTGTCTTCCCCTCCACACACAATCCTTTCCTAAGAAAGTCTCCTCCAGCCTCCCAGGACCTCATCTGTGGTACCTTGTTCTTTTCCTTCAAACTCTGATCCATGAGAGAGGGTGCGCATGTGTCTGTATCAATGTTTCTCTCCCTCACTAAATCCTAAGCTCCATCAGAGCAAGAACCATGTCAATTTTTTTTCAAACCTGAACATTTATCATTGAAACCCCACCACTTAGCAAACTCTTGTCTTATGGTAGCTGCTTGATGAATACTTGAAGCATTAAAAATGGTCATTTGTATCACCTAGCATGTGAGCAACTAGAGGTTGTATCCCTAATATCTGACAGTGTTTGTTTATTTTAAAAGTGAGGTGAAATATTCACATAGGTGGCACCAACCTTAGCAACTGCTCAGTAGCTGCCGTGGTAGCTGGAAACGGCTGTCCTGCTGATTGCCTCAGTGTGTGACATCTCCACCGCAGCAGCTCTGGGTTCGTCAGTGCAGGGGTGCTGCCTAGGACCTTAGCTAGTTATCATCCCCAGGTCATTTGTGTGGCTTAGTTTATCAAGTGAGCTAACAGAAGTCCTAAAGGCAGGGTCCGTGGGCAGGTGAAAGACCACAGGGACATTGTAATCGGGCAGGAAACCAGCCTGGATGCTCAGGAATGTGAGAATCTCAGAGGGTAGTAATGGAGAGAGAGGAACACAAACACGATGAGGGAGGCTTTAGCCTGTTTTACTCCTGCTTTAGCTAGTTACACTTCTGGTAGAAAAAGAAGGAGAGAGAAAATTAAAAAATAAAATATGTGACTGGTGTAGCCTTTCTTAACTGTTTACATCAGCCCATATTTGCATTGTTTCCTTTGAAAATACTGAATTCCATTCTCGTTCTCTGCTTAGAATATTTGGGTTTTCCATGTTTAATATACCGTAGACCATTTGTAACCAAAAAGCTATTCTTAGGTAAAGTGGTTTTTCTTATATATTTTTACATTGAAAAAAAAACAAATTAGGAAGCCTTTTTGTATTTAAATGATTATAGGCAATGGCTCACGCCTGTAATCCCAGCACTTTGGGAGGCCAAGGCGGGTGGATCACCCAAGGTCAGGGGTTCAAGACCAGCCTGGCCAACATGGTGAAACCCCCATCTCTACTAAAAATACAAAAATTAGTGGGGTTTGGTGGCCTGCACCTATAATCCCAGCTACCCAGGAGGCTGACGCAGGAGAATCCCTTGAACCCAGGAGGAGAAAGTTGCAGTGAGCCGAGATCGCGCCATTGCACTCCAGCCTGGACAACAAGAGGGAAACTGCATCTCAAAAAATAAATTAATTAATTAAATAAAATAAATGATTTAAACCTATGGATACCAATGACTGCATTCATAATCATAGCTATTTAAAGACATGGCATAATAATTTGCTTTTCCCTTGGTTGCATTCCACTTATTAGGAAGTGGACTAAGAAGCAGAAACCCAACTTCCTGAAAATCTTGTTTTCCCAGGGTTTTCAGATGTTCTGTCTACACTGAAAGATGATAACAAAGCACTACCAGGGGCAACTTTGACACCTTATGAAATTGAACAAATAGTACTGTGGTTCTTAGCCATGAAATGGAGTCCATTTTGGAGGTAAAACACTTCTTGTCTGGGGCACAGATACATAAAAACAGATTGCGCAAAGAATGTGCACAGATCACACAAAAGCCTCCCCACCCCCAAGAAAAAAAGCAAGTATATTATCACTACTTTGGATTTTATATTTTTCTAATTATCTAGGTATATAAAGTATATACTTTGAATAAAAGTGAACTGATAATTACTCTTCCAGATACCAAAACTTATTGTAAGGTTATATTAACAAAAACAGTGAGGTTTAGAGACAGACAAATAGAAAAATGGAACGAAACAGAGTCAACAATTAAACTAGCTTATGTATGGGAACCTGGAATAATATCAATTTTTTTTAAGTTGTACAATATGTGCTATCTTTATGGATAAAAATAAATATAAGCTGGGCATGGTGGTTCACACCTGTAATCCCAGCACTTTGGCAGGCCAAGGTAGACTGATCATTTGAGCTCAATAGTTCAAGACCAGCCTGGGCAACATGGAGAAACCCCATCTCTACCAAAAATACGAAAATTAGCCAAGCATGGTGGCACGTGCCTGTATCCCAGCGTCTCAGGAGGCTGAGGTGGGAGGATCACTTGAGCCCAGGAGGTTGAGGCTATAGCGAGCTGAGATTGCACCACTGCACTGCAGACTGGGAGACACAGTAAGACCCTGTCTCAAAATAATAATAATAATGATAATTAATTAGACCTGGGGCAGGGACAGATTCCCTGTTCACTAACCCTCTTTTCTTGTCTTCGTGGGCACACAGCTAAAACCACCTTCCCCAGCCTCCCATGCTTTTGGATGTAGCCACGTGTCTGAGATCTGGCTGATGGAAGGTGAGCAGAATTAATGCACCCACTTCCAGGCCTGACCCACTAAGGACTCACTGCACAATCGCCAAGCCTTATGCACTCTTTTGGCAACCGTGAAGCCATGTGCAGAAATGGTGGATCTACAGTGCGGAAGGAACTGGGGTCCCTGAGTCAAGGCTTACAGTAAAGGCAACTGCCAATCAAAAATGTCCATTGTGGACCTACTTGATAAATTTTTATCAGATTAGATGACCTATACTTGTGAGTTTATTTGTTAAAGGAGCTAGCATCAACTTTTCTGGTACAGATTTATTTAATACCATATGTAACATAACTTCTATGTCATTAAAGATTTTAGAGGTGAAAACCTTTGGACACCTCTATAATGAAATATAGGAAACGATATTTATGACTTCAGGGTAAGAATGGAATGCTTGAACAGGACACGAAAGCAAAACAGCAAATCATAAAGGAAAATGTTAGCAACCTTACAATTAAAAAGAAATTTGTATTATAAAAGCCATTATAAGCATCATAATCAGATTACATCAATGGGAACAGATAGGGAGAAGTTATTTACAATGCGTATAGCTCACAAAAGATTAGTATAGAGAAAATAAAAATTCCTGTAAATATTTTAAACAAAGAATGCAATAGAAGAAATAAGCAAAAGATGCAAATGAGCAATTTACAAAAGATAAAATCTGAATAGCCAACATAAATATGAAAGCATGGTCAAATTTACTAGCAATTCCAGAAACGCAAATTAAATGACAATGAAAATTGGATAAATGTTTCAAAGCTTAACAATATCAAATGTTGGCAAGGATAAGGGATTATAGTAACACATATACACTGCCAGCAGGGCTGTGAATTGGTGCAGCCACTTTGAAAGCAGTAGGGAATATTCACTGTGGTTTTGCACGTAAATCCATTATAACCCAGCATTCTACTCCTAGGCATATAGCCTGACAAAGTTATCACACATATATATGCAAGAAAATTTTCTATAGAAACATTTATAGTTGCAGAAACTGGGAAATAACTTTGAAGAGTTCATCGATAAAGGAAAGGTAAGTAAATTCTGGCATGGCAATAAAATTGTATGCTATAGAATAGTAAAAACTAATAAATTGGATGCATATGTTTTAACAACAGAATGGAAATGCAATAAGAATAAATATTTCTACATTTTCAAAATAGGGAATGCTCCATTTGGCACTTTTTCACTTTCGTAGAGATGGCAAACAGGTAAAGGAAAGACAAGGATGCAATGTGGATCTGTAAACGTGGCTGTCTCTGTAATAGTTTGCTTCTTTCAAAAAAGGCATTTAAAGCAAATATACCAAAAAAATACATTCGTTACATCTAACTTAGACTCTGTTGTGTTATTTTCTATGTATTTAAAAGTCTTTAAATGAAAAAATAGTTAAAATGATACAAGTCAATATGATAACTAAGCTGTAAGAATGATTTATCCTATACTTATCCCATACTCTTTGAATTAATATCTTCTCATGAGGACACAAAATATTTTACACATCATCCCCACAAAAAAAAAAAAATGAAATAGAAAGAAGGAGGGAAGAAAGGAGACGGGACTTAAAGGAAGAGAGAGAAAGAGAAAAGAAGGGAGAAAGAAAGGGAAGAAAGGAAGGGAATATTTTTTGTCTTAGAAAGATGTATTGTTTATACAAATGAAAAGATGACAATCTACTGAGAAGAGACACTTGCTGAGAAACTAGATTCTTCATTTGTTAGCACACTAAAAAACGAACTTTACTATTAAGGTTATGAAATGCAGGTATCTTGGGCTGTCTCAATAATTGATAAATTCAACAAACACCTAAGTAGACATTAATCTCATACCATTGTATTTTATCTTCATAACAAGCCTCTGAGGCAGTAAAATTGAAACTCAAAGGAGTAAGTTGATCCTGATCAAATAGCTAATAGGGGAAGGGTGTGAATGTGAACCCAGGTCTTCTGAATTCTAATACACTCCTTATCCCACAATACTACAGCTATGTAGAGAAGAAAAAAAAGTACAGTACCAAGACTTGTTTCCACACTTCCAAGTACTGACATCATTAAAATCATTTTTTGAGGGTTGAGGCTTATGTTTTAATCTCAGATTTTTCCATAAAAAAATAAAAACACTAGCCCCCACCACCCCCAAGTAACCTTTTTACTTTTAACTAACCTAGAGACTGTTAAGCATTCCGTGAATTTTCTCCACTCAATAGTTCCTGGTTTAGAGCAGGGAAATACAAGGTAAGTTATTGCACACCATCCGAGACTGAGATGGAATTAAATGAATGCCCCAAAATGACTAGAACAACCAGAAAAATCAAAGGTACCACTTTGGGACAGGTGCTTTCTCTCAATTAACTTAAAACTTGGCTAATTTTGGGAGAAAAGTGAATGATGGTTGTGATTAAAATCATCACATGGGCATCTGATGGTATGCCGTAAACATGATCCAAAGTTAACGCAAAGAGGTTTAATGGCCTGGACCGCAGCGAGCATTATCATTCAGGGCTATTGCAGAGCCTTAGGCAGCCTCTCAGCTTGACTAGCAAGCGGCCTAACACTCCCCATCAATTGCTTGCATTCCAGCAATAGAATAAAGCTCACGCTTCACAAATCTTCAGAACTCAGTTCGTACAACTGTCAAATGGATGATCTCCAAGGCTCTTTTTAGAAAATCTATGGTGTCTTTGCCAACAAGTAATCCCCATCCCATACAAGAGGGACATATGCAACATACCAGTCGCCCAGTCTGTGTTCAAGGGAACCAACAGAATGGTGACCTCAAAGCCATCAACCCTGTTCAGTGAAATCACTTTCATTTTGGGGGTGATTTGTTTCTAGAATGATTATTCCAAATGGCATGCACGCTGATACTCATTATTCATATTCACCCCATGCAATGCACTAATTTTCTTACTATTGCACTAAACTTAGAATGCATAGTGCCCTCACCACCCCCTGCAATCTTTTCTTTCACTCATTTGATGGGGGAAAATTCAGTACATTAGATGTTTCCAAATATACCCCTATTATCAACAGTGGCCCTTTATAAATTTCAATTTTTAATTTTTGTGGGTACATCATAGGTGTACATACTTTTGGGGTAGATGAGATGTTTTGAGACAAGCATGAAATGTGAAATAAGCAAATCATGAAGAATGGGGTATCCGTCCCCTCAAGCATTTACTCATTGAGTTGCAAACAATCCAATTATACTCTTTAATCAACAGTGGTCCTTGACCAGCACTCTGCTGCCACCCAAAAAATGCATGAGAAATGGCCTCTCCGTGAGCTAGTTATCTTCTTTTGCCATCCGGTTCTATTTTTATCAGTTCATTACACTCCTTCTGACATTGGCTAGGATCCAGGCCCTTAGAAACTGCCTGGCAAAAAGCACTCTAGAGAGGGCATGCTGCTACATAAAATGCATCTGTCACCCCAATTTATGCAAATCACAGGCAAGGACCATTTTTAAAATTAAAAAAAAAACTAGTAAGAACTTTCTAATACAGAAGAAAGAAAATTCAAATTCAGATGAAGAAAGTGGCAGGAAGGTGTGGGGAGTGAGTCCTTCTATTCAAAACTTAGAAACGACACCATTCCCAACCCCAGAAGGAAGACTGGTCCAGGTGGGAGACCTAAGTCCCATAGGAGGTAAATTGTAGATGTGAAATTCTCACACACCTGGCAGCCTCCTAGCAGAAAGGAGTGATTTCTTGTGTTGCCTAAATGTCTTGGCTTGGTGTGTGTTTCTGTTTATGTCAGGGGAAAGGAATTTTAGGAAAAGCTGAGAACAGTAGAGTTGAATAACTATAATATGATTCATCTCATAGGAAACCTAATATGGACCTCAGACAAAACTCCACCTCATTTTTTTTTCCTTTAATATAAAAAATACTTTTTCCAGTGTATAACAGGAATAGTCCATCACCCCTAGGCTCTGGACGCTTAAGAAATGGATGCCCAGGAGAAGCACAGGATCTCAAACATAGTTGAGAGCAAATGAAGCCTCAGGAGACTTCAGGACAAGGACAAGGAAATGGTTGCCTCATATTAAAAGAAAATAGTTGATCTGTTAAAAAAAAAAAAAAAGAAAAAAAAAAGTCAGGTGTGGTGGCTCAAGCTTGTAATCCCAGCACTTTGAGAAGCCAAGGTGGATGGATCACTTGAGGTCAGGAGTTTGAGACCAGCCTGGCCAACATGGTGAAACTCTGTCTCTACTAAAAATACAAAAGAAAAATAGTCAGGCATGGTTGGCACCTGTAATTGCCACTACGCGAGAGGCTGAGGCAGGAGAATCACTCAAACTGGGAGGCAGAGGCTGCAATGAGCCAAGATTGTGCCACTATACTGTAGCCTGGGTGACAGAGTGAGAGTCCGTCTCAAAAAAAAAAAAACAAACATGGAACAGTATTAGTACTTTATGAACTTTCAGTTTTGAGATTCCCTTGAATAACTAGAACACATAATTATTTGTTTGGCAGAAACCATTAATCCCACTATCATGTTTTCCCAAGATGAGAATAATATGCATATTCTCTAGTATTGTCTAGGGAGAATTCCTTCTTCAACCATTATTTCTTCATACCTTTATGAAGAAATGTCTTCTCTAACATTCTAGTAAAATGCAACACTTTTCTATTTTAAAAAAACTTGAATTTTTCCAAGCCATAAGTCTTACTGCAATTTCTGAATTTGCATTCTATGAAAGCCTATTTGCTCTATCTTCACCTTATTTGAATGAATGAGTGCTAGGTTTGTCTAGAAACTGTAACGATTTTAAGAAATGTATAACTATATTTAACATGCTGTATTTACGGGGTACGTGACAATTAATTCCACATATAATCATTCCCTTCTATCTTGATTTGCACAAAGCCCATGGTAACAAGGATCACATGTGTTATTGCTCTGGGTTTTACAGAGGGGTCAGCGCCCAGCATGGCTGAGAGACAAGTACATTCTTGTGCCATGCTCTGATGCTGAGTCCAGTCTTCTTTTCTTTCAAAGTAGCCATTTGTAAACTGACACACTTATGTTTCTATTTCTCAAACCACTTTCAGACCTATTTGGAACCTGCCTTCACAGCTTATGGATTATTTTTAAGATTCTAAAATAAAAATAGAAATTTATCATCTTTGACATAAAAAAGGCCCAAAGAGGACTCCAAGCTTCTACTAGTAGGACACACCAGGATGCATTTTTTATTCTGTTACTTGATGTGATTTGGATGGTTTGTCCCCTCCAGATCTCGTGCTACAATGTGGCCTCCAGCAGTGGAGGTGGGCCTAGTGGGAGGTGTTTGAGCCATGGGGGTAGATGCTTCATGAATGGCTTGGTGCTGTCCTTGCTGCAGTAATGAGTGAATTCCCACTCTATGAGTTTACATGAGATCTGGTTATTTAAAAGAGGCTGGCCCCTTCTCCCTCCCTCTCTTGCTCCCTCTCTCTCCCGCTCCTGCTCTCGCCATGTGACATGCTGGCTCCCCTTCAGCTTCCTCCATGAATGGAAGCTTCCTGAGGCTCTCACCAGAAGCAGATGTCAGCACCATGATTCCTGTACAGCCTGCAGAACCGTGAGCCAAATAAACCCCTTTATAAATTATCCAGTCTCAGGTATTCCTTTATAGCAACACAAATGAACTAAGACACTGCTGAAGAAACAAGATGTGTTTACACTTCTTCAAGCACCTGTGACGCAGAGCCTCACCCAGGAAGGGCATGAAACAGCCCCAGAAGAAAGGTATCCACCCGGCCAAACATCCCAGACGGGGCTGCAAAGGCCCTGAAGGCCTGACCCATGTGGGATGTCCTAATAAATCGGGGACTGAAAATGTGTTAGTCACTTCCTAAGCACAGATGTGCTTATGTTTCTGATAGATAAGACTGCAGTCTTTATTACTTTAATATTGCATCTCTTGACTCAGAACACAAAGCCCTCAATATCTGAGGGTTTACAATAATTCTCAATAGCATTTAACCTGGGCACCAACATAGTAAGTAGTTTCTAGGACACCTTCTGCCTCTGTCTTCCCTCTCTCCTCTCTCTTTCTCTCCCTCTCTCTCTGCCTCTCTCTCTTCCTCATCCTCCTCTGTCTCCCTCATCCTCCTGTCTCTGTCTCATTCTGCACCTTCTCCCGCCCAGTTTGTCCCAGGGGCTCATGCTCCTTAGTACCTGCTGGTTTGGGTTTTCTTGATGGTGTTGTTGCTGCATCCCCTGCCCACAGTCTTTTACTCTTTTCAGGTCTTTTTCTCCACTCCACATCCTTTATCCTACTGTCCTTTGTAAGATGAAGACAAGCTTCCTTTCCAGGTAATGGCAACTCCTCCTGTAGTCCCCAAAGGAGTGTGTTTTTTTCACTCATGCCAAGACCTCTCTGAAGAACTTGAAAAGTCTGCAGAGCATCCTGGAAGGGGCCTTCAAATGCACTTGCTGCAAATGGTCAACCTGTTCCCTGATTATTTTTCCCTATCTCTTACCAGCAACTGTGGGAGTGGGGACAGGGCTTATATACCAACCCATTTTTAACCTATGAATCTCAGGACCTGTGTTAGTCTGTTCTCACACTGCTAGAAAGACACAGCCGAGACAGTAATTTATAAAGGAAAGAGGTTTAATTGACTCACAGTTCTGCATGACTGGGAGGCTTCAGGAAACTTACAATAATGGAGGAAGGTGAGAGAGAAGCAAAGGCATGTCATACATGGCGCAGGTGAGAGACAGTGAGCAAAGGGAGAAGAGCCCCTCATAAAACTATCAAATCTCATGAGAACTCACTATCACAAGAGCAGCCAGGGGAAAACCAGCCCCACGAGTCAATCACCTCCCACCAGGCCTTGCCCTCAACACATGGGGTGATGGGGATTAAAATTCGAGATGAGATTTGGATGGGGAAAGGGAGCCAAACCATATCAGGACCCAACTATCACTCCAAATCCCTCATCATTCTAAGCCCTGGGGCTCTCTTGCAGATAAGATACCAGGTAGCCCACCCTGATGTCCCAAGAGTCCTGTGGGAGACAAGAATATTAAGACTTAGCTATGACCTCACAACCCTGGAAAGCTGCCAGAGACTGTGCATTCTTTGTGCTCACCATGGCAGCAGGGTATTTACAGCCACTGCTGTGCAAGAGGGCATACTGGAGCTGATTTGGGTTTGTAAATGATGACCAAGTTTGCAGCAAGAAGGCTTTGAGGATGTAATCGATCTAGACAGGTGGATCTCGCAGGAGGCAGAAAAGAGATGAAGCTGACAGAGCGGTCAAAGCATAAAGGGGAGAAGGAACATGGCGCAGAGAAGCAGAAGTGCTTGCAACAGGGGCTCCAAGTGAATCACAATGATATTGATGATTGGGAAAAAATAAGTGAGAGAGACAAAGCGGGACTAGAATGCTGAGCCTGAAAATGTGAAGAAACAGCTATTTATTGGATGAGGTGAGAAAAATAGACAGTAATAATTAATTTTAGAGCAGGAAAGTGACATGATAAAAGTAGTGTTGTAAAAATATTAACACCATACAATCATCTAGAATGCATTCCAAGTGGGAAGACTTTTCAAGAGACCACAAAAATAATCCAAACTTGAAAAGGAGCTCAACTTTAATGGCAAAAGCAAGCATGGAAAGAAGAAAATAAATCCAAGAGAAATTTTTTAAAGAAGAAATTTCCAACTAATTTGTAATGAAATAAGTATAGGGTAAGAGAGATTATCACCTCCTAAGTTTAAGAAACATCCCACAGAACAGTTCTGGATTCATTATACCATTAACGGGAGAAAGTACTATATTCTTGTTTCTTTTGGGTGGCCGAGCACAAGAACAAAACCGTTCCTATAGTTCTTAATGTTGCCTACCGATTTAACATTTCTGGCATTTTCAATATTGCATCAGAAATTCTCTATGTCATATGTTATGTAGAAAAAGAAGTTTATTATTTCTCCAGTTTATCTACAGACAATGAGCCTATTGTATTTATATCTTCACTTCTGTTTTACTTTCAGAGTTTGCACCTGAATATTCAGGACTATTCAGTCAACACAGGCTGGTGGGTGGTAAATGTAATGTCATTTCATGATACATTTGAGAGTAGTATTTTCTCCCTGAAAAATTGAATAAAAGGCATACAAGGACATCCGGCTCTGATTTTAAATTCAAATGATAAACCTGCTGCAATGTGTATATTAAAAAAGAATACACTGTATTCTTCAACTATAGCTTATATGATTTCTCTTTCTTCATTTCACATCATTCTTCCATTTCACATAATCGCAATATCCTTCATATGACAATTCAGTAGAATCTTTCAATTCCAAAGTCAATGGAGATGGTCACATAAAATATCTCTGACTGTCAAAATTGCTCTAAGATTGTTTATGGCTACATTTGCCCCTGGCCAAGCAATCAGTTGAGAATTTGAGCATCAGGATATGTCGCTGCTAAAATGTTTATGGTAATATCTGGATTTGTGCAATTAATCATTATATAACCCTCACTTTGTAACTCTGAGATTCAAAGGAATACGCTAATACCTGAGTCTGATTCCATCCCCAGTCTTGTCCTGGAATACACAGACGGTAACAACAGTAGCGCTGAATCAAAGCTTTATGTAGTGGAAGGCACTGAGCACAGCCATTTCTATGAATTGTCTGATTTAATACTCTAACGACACCATGTTGGGTACTACTTCAATCTTCTCTTTTACAGAACTGAATCATAGAGTTTCAGTAACTTCTCCAGGAATACTTGCTAGCAATCTACACATGATTCACTGATGTAAGTCTTGTGAGTGAGTTGTACACAGAACACTATCGGTGCTCCGAGAAAGACAAAGACAACAGCAATACACAGGAAGACATCCCAGGGTGACGACATATGAGCTGGGTGCTAGCAGACTTTGGATTTCTAGGGAAACACAACAGTAGTCCAAGATCTTGTGTATAAGATCCTTATAAAGAAGAAATATACAAAAGTTTAGTTGCTATGCCCAGGATACTTAGACAACATTCTCATGACTCAAGTACTGAAGTCTCAATACCTTGAACAATCTCTCTTTCTCTCCTCTCTCTCTCTCCCCCTTTCCTTCTCCCTACATCCACAGAGGCTACCACAATTACCATGTCTTTAAGATACCAAACTCTTACCAATTTTTTTGAGCAATTTTCTTTGCCTTCTAACTCACTGTGCACAGAAAAATTACTTATCTGGACACCCTACTTGTTCTTCAGCCCTGGGGAAAGGTAAGAGGAGAGGACTCTCCAGATGAAGGAAGAGCATTGCAAGGCCTCACAATCCAAGAATATAGGCTGCATATATTTACCATCCCTCCAAGAAGAAGCCTTTCCATTTTTTCTAGTGTTGTGTTCTACATGCTTCAATGATGACCACATGGTTCTAGAACTCAGAAATTCAATAATTTTGCAAAAACTGAAGATATAGAATTTAAATAATATCATCCATTGCATTTTCAAATCTTAAAAACCTGAAATTTTAAACATGTCTTCATATGAACAACTCTCTCTCCCCATAATACTTGCCTTTCCTATAAATATGTCAAGCTCAGTTAATCTTTTCTGAATACTAGAGTGGATTTGCAAAAAGATGGACATTTTCTGCTTTATTCCAGTATCTCCAGTGTCTCTTAACATTTTTGATGCCTTCATCATAGTAAAATGGCTTTCATTTATGACTCCCATTTCTTCTAAAACTTTCCCAAGACTACTTCCCAAACTCAAGCCTTCATTGCCACTGACCTAACCCAGTACAATAGCTTTGCGGTCCCCTATATTGTATCTCTGCCTTCAGTGGTCTTGCTGCAATGCCTCCTCTACATTACCACCCAGGTATCTTCCTACCACATCAGATTCATTGGGTTATTTTTCTCCTCAAAAAATTCTGATGGATCCTCTTTGTATATAGAACAAAAATCCTTAGCCGGCCGGGCATGGTGGCTCACACCTATAATCCCAGCACTTTGGGAGGCCAAGGCGGGACGATGACAAGGTCAGGAGTTCGAGACCAGTCTGGCCAACATAGTGAAACCCTGTTTCTATTAAAAATACAAAAAAATTAGCTTGCCATGGTGGCAGGCGCCTGTAGTCCCAGCTACTCAGGAGGCTGAGGCAGGAGAATCACGTGAACCCAGGAGGCGGAGGTAGCAATGAGCTGAGATCACGCCACTGCACTCCAGCCTGGGTGACAGAACAAGACTCCATCTCAAAAAAAAAATATATATATATATATATATATCCTTAGCCTAGCATTAAACATCTTCCATAAGCTGGGCCTAATATACTTTTTCTATTTCATGCTCTACTTCATTCTTAATCTATCAGGGTAATACAGATACCAATTAGAACATGTCCTATCTTTCTTGCCTGTGTGATTTCATCCCCAAATTCCTTTCACTGAGTGTACAGTCACTAGATTTGCTCATATAAGCCCCATTATAGCTCAAGGCTCAATTTGGATTCACCCTCCTCTGTAAACCCACCCTTCAGGTTGAACTTAATTTTCCGCATGGATTTTGTCCTTATCTTTCTGGTGCACCTTCTGTTCTGAGTTGTATTACAGTTACTTGCACACATGACTGTAAATCATAAAGAGCTTGACCATGTGCCCCACAGGGAGCCTGACCCTTAGCATGTGCTCAGGCAAGATGTGTTGCATGTAATTCTTCCCAATGCTGAACTTCAAACTTCTCCATTGGACACTTTCAGGCATTTATTGGCCAGTTGCACTTCTCCAGTCAATGAGAATAGAGTCTTTGAGATAAAATCCATCTATTGTCTTGTTGGCAGGCCACATATCCAGCCCATCTGTGCCGATGCCACAGACAGCTTGAATAACATCTGTTAGGCACATACATTAATGAGACTCTATGCCCACCTATCCATCAGAATCGAGACAGCAATGAAAGTAATTTAACACACGATATTGTCTATTGAAAGGCCCGCAAAAAATGAAACCCTAAGATATATCATGCCCTCAGTTAATTCCTTTCAGTTAACTTTGAAACTTTGAAACAACCCATTCTAATTGTCTCATAAAAACTAAGCAATCCAAGCTGTATTTGGAGATGGCTGATGATATATTTATTTCACAATGGCCCACAACACTCATTTAGTATTACCTTTAAACTGTCTTACAACTCTATATGTTTTGGATACATCCCTGCTCTCTTCGAAGAACTTATTTCTCTGTCTCTGAGAAGAGTAATTCATTCTAAGGATCCAAGATTATTTTACTCTGTAATTGCCAGAAGAAAGATTTCATCTTGATTATATTTTAAATAATTCACTATAATTTTTTACTTTTATACGTAGTTTGAAACACCATACCAGTTCATTTCCATTGAAATATTTGGCATTTGTTTATACTAGTCTTGAGAGAGAAGCATGGTTGGAGAAAACTTTATCTTATGATATTGTCTAATTAACTAGCAAATAATTCTGTATCACCAGCAGCATTCTCGTTGCTAGATGGAATAATATTTCAGCAAGCAGCATATTGCACCTATTGATATATGAAATGGAAACCTAAACAGTAGTCTGAGACCTGAGACTAGAGATCATTTGATGAGGAGCTCATACATATGTGTATAACTTCAGGATAAGGAATTTTTAGTAGATGGGGTCCTCTCATGTTAGATAATCTTCATGAAGTGATTCGAGCGGAAACTTGAGTACTGATTTCATGACCTTTAATCAGTTTTTAATGTCTTTCATTGTTATGTTTTGCTGTCTGCTTTGCAGATATATGAAATGTAATAAAGATACAGCAAACAAAATTTAGCTAGAGAATAGAGTATAAAGTAACCCCAAATTCAAGATAGACATTAGCCTCATTTGAATGACTGAGCCACATGCAAAGGCCACTTAAAATGAGTTAATAATTAAGCACTAATTAATTGAATAACTGGAAATTATAAATATTTAGAAATGTATAGTAGCTTATCCATGATGAAGTATTAGAAAGAGAATAATACATGCTATTGTCTTAAGTCCTAATAGCTTGACCATTTCCATTAATTTGAAATGATCAAACTCATATAGTATCAAAATCAAAATTAGATATCAGCATATTCTACCAGAAATTAGATTTGAATTAATTTTATTAAATACAATCATATTTAGTTATAAACCGGGGTGTGAGAGAATTGTATTTTTTCCTTCGATAATGAATCACTTTTCAGCATAAAATGTGAACAGTAGATATGTCTACCAATAGACATGTCACCACAGTGACACACTACACTTGTCAATAAAAGCATATTGTGTTGGTTTGTATTGCCATAACAGAACACCACAGATTGGATAATTTATAATTAACAGAAATTTATTGGCTCATAGTTCTGAAGGCCGGAAAGTCCAATATTAAGGGCCAACATGTTCAGTCTTGGTGAAGGCCCAGTCTCTGCTCCCAGATGTCCTCTCAAATGCTGCTTCCGCCAGAGGAGAGGAACACGCTTCCTCACATGGCAGAAGAGCAAAAGAGCTGAGAGAGATCACTCCTTAAAGCCCTTTTATTAAGACATTAAACTCAACCACGAAGGTGGAGCCCTCATGGCCCAATTACTTCTTAAAGGCCCCCCTCCCAATGCCATTATGCTGGCAATTAAATGTGGCAATTAAATTTCAATCTGAGTTTGAGGAAGCAAACATTTAAATTATAGTATATATGTTATCACTCTTTGACAATCATTCCAAATGTTCTCTATTGAAGGTTTAAAATTATCCATTAGCTAATATAAAAGCATTATTAAAAATAATAATATACTCATTTCATAAGACTTAAAAAATGCATCCAAAAAAAAAAAACCCAGCAATCAGATTGGGTACATTGAATCCATGTAATGTATAAGAACTTCAATCCAAGAATTTGGAAGATCTCAGTTGAAAGGAAACTGACGCATAACCAACTTTAAGTTGTATTTTGTGTAGCACGTAAGTTCCATAAGAACTATCTCCATATTGCTAATTGTCAATATGCATGAATGATACCTGTCCACCTAGAGTTCTGCAAATCTACCTACATTTCTTGAGAATTGCTTTCATTGCTCCTTTTATTGTCAGCTATATAGTCACAAAAATATAATGATTCCATGTCATCAGAATGGAAGTTGTTTTCATAGCCTCTCCAGAACTGTAATTTTGACAGTACTGAGGAATCATGGCATTAATTTGTAAAGAATTTGCTGTGACAGTTTGGTTCTTTCACTGTCTTCTCTATATCATTTTAAGCAAAGACACAGGTTTTTTTGAAGATATTTGCCCCTTGTATGCCCCCTTTTTTATTTTAATCATTTTCCATACTTTTCTTTCTTACCTTTGTAAGAAACCAAAATTACCCTTGGGAAGACAAAACTCATATTGCAACTTTAAGAGGTGTAAAAAAAGCTGGGTCATCGTGGGAGTTGTGAGACTGTTTGGCTCCAAACCGGGTGCTAAAACAATTCCAAAGCACTTGGGTTCTGCGTCTTTGTGAAGATCATCAGGGCACTCTTGCGTGCTAATTTAATTCTAACGGTTGTATGTCCAGGTCTCTGTGAACCACGCAGTTCTTTCAGTTAAACAGAATGAAAATTGGAGCTGAATATCGAGTCAAGGAGTGTGAAACTAGTGAGCCACGATGGTCCTAGAAAAAGCCAAGAATATAACATTTGAAAGCACAAAGGCACATAGGAGGACATCCAGTGAGTAAGGCTACAAATGCCCTTTTGCGCCAAAGGAAAAATAAAACTGACCATTAAAAGAGTTATTGCAAGGTCTTGAGCTTGTCTAAATCGTTTCTCCCTTAACTGAAAAATAGTCGATTAGAGGCAGGAAGCAAGCAAGTTGCTAGTAGCAGAGCAGGAAATGAAACCTAAATTCTCCCATCTTGATGATGTATGACACCTTTATAAGATTTCAATGCTAAAATGCTAATGCAGTCAATATATTGGCTACTTCTTATATTTGTTTCTTGTGACAAATTACTGCAAATGTAGAAACTTAAAACAGTAGAAATATATTCTCTCATAGTTCTGGAGGCGAAAAGTCTTAAATCAGCATTACTGAGCCAAAATCATGGTCTCAGCAGAGCCACACACCCATTGGAGGTTCTAGGGGAGAACCTATGCTTTGTTTCTTCCAGCTTTTAGTGACGGCCACGTTCTTCAGCTTGTGGCCACATCATTCCCACGTTCCAGTTCAGCAGCACCTTTAAATCTGTTTCATATTCACATCAGCTATGTGTCTGTGAAATCTCCTTCTGCCTCTCTCTCTTATAAGGACACTTCTGAAGGCATTTGGGGCCCACCTGGATAATTTCCCATCTCATGATCCTTAACTTAATCACATCTACAAAGATGCTTTTTTCCAAATAACATAATATTAGCAAGTTGCAGGTATTGGGAATTCATAGATTTCATGTGGGGAACAAAGACATTATTCTACTAATCATATGAATTATGTTTAGCCGTATGTAAAAAAAAAAAAAAAAACAAGTCTACTGGACATTGATCTGTCAACTTTTTCTCTTGGCATAATATGACAAATCTAAAATTACATAAAATGTATAAAGACAACCATAGAAAATAGTTATTGTTTTTGCCTGTCCAACATCCACCCTTTTTTATGCAACAGCAAAAGGCAATTATATAAAGCAGCCTTCCAGCTTTGTATTGTCTGGCACAATAAAATATGTGCCGTGCCAGTCTCCAGCCTTTGTAGGGCTACAGCCTTTGCAGCAGAGACTTGGCATCTGCTGATGAGCCTCGTATGTGCCTATAAAAAGTGTGAGATGGTCATGGTCCCCTGCTCTGAGAATTGTGCGCCTGCGCTTTAAGCCGGGGTTTAGAAAGAAAAAACAAAAGCCACACCTGTTGATTTCTCCTGTAATTGCATTTTTTAAAACTCTAAATATGAGTGATACTTCTACTCTGGTCAGCATGCAAGCATGGCAATACTCAGGTTGCCTTAATGGGGTCTCAGACAGAAAATCTATAAGGTGACTTTAAGGGACATTAATTTTATGCTACTTCCCAATCCTGAAAAAATCCATTCCAAAGTGCTTTTACATGAACTAAAAAGATAAAGGCTTATTCCTTTTCCAGTAGCTGCATGAAATGCTGAAGTACTGTATTAATTTTAAAAGAACATAGGTTTGCTTCTTTGAACATGTACTGTATTTCTGTGTCTTCTACTATGAGCTGTTCTTTGTTTGCATGTGCTTTTATACCTCCAGGAAAACTGATCTCAACTTAAATAAGCCAAAATTAGATAATACTGTGGCCCCTCTTTCCCCATCATCATTCACCAGGTAATGTAATGGGCAGTAAATCCTAATGGCACAGGGCCGTATCTCATGTTTGAGTTCCTCCAAAATTCACAGGTAGAAATCCTAAACCCCAAATTGATGGTATTGAGAGGTAGGGCCTTTGGGAGGTAATTGAGTCAGGAAGGCACAGCCATCGTGAATGGGATTATTAATGCCTTTGTGGAAAAGACCCCAGAGAGCACCTTGGCCCCTCCTACCATGTGAGGACACAGCAAGAAGATGCCATCTATCAACCTGGAGGTGATTCTCCCACTAGACACCCAGTCAGGTGGCATCTTGATATCAGATTTCCAGCTCCTAAAACTGTGAGGCATGGCCAGGAGCGGTGGCTCATGCCTATAATCCCAGCACTTTCGGAGACTGAGGGAGGCAGATCACGAGGTCAGGAAATCGAGACCATCCTGGCCAACATGGTGAAACCCCATCTTTACTAAAATACAAAACATTAGTTGGTTGTGGTGGTGCAAGCCTGTAGTCCGAGCCACTTGAGAGGCTGAGGCAGGGGAATCGCTTGAACCCGGAAGCAGAGGTTGCAGTGAGCTGAAATCAGGCCACTGCACTCCAGCCGGGCGACAGAGCGAGACTCCATCTCAAAAAAAAAAAACTGTGAGGCATATTTTTATTGTGTCTAAACTACACAGTCTCAGGCCTTTTGTTGTAGCAGCTTGAAAGAACTAAGACGAACTGGTTTCAAACAGTATGGATTCCATCAACAATCATTTAGTAATTATTAATAAGTTAGCACAGAGGATCGAAGTCAAAGACAAGGTAAGTTCACCTTCTGAAGGTTTATTGAAATTAATTTACTTTAGATTAGATTAGCCATCTGCAGAAATCATTTTACAAGTAACTATGTCTCTGAGGTCAAAAGCAGAAAGAGGAGATCTAGCTATTCAATAAAGGCTTGGCAATGTAAATGAGTGCTTGGTATCTATTGAATCTTGGTATCCTCTTTTATTTTTTCAGAGGAAACACAACACAAATTATTAGGCAATAGCCTAGAGTCTAGAAATGGATCAATAATTTGTCAGGTTCCTTCCAATACCACTGAAGGCAAGGCCATCCCCATTAACCTGCTCAATTAACTCAGCTGTTCATATCCCATACCTGCTGTGGTGGCCAAACAGGGCTCTAGATCACATTCTGCTTCCATATTCTCTTCTAATTCTTCCACTATCTATTTTTCTTCCATGTTTATCAATGTCTAATGAGAAAATACGTCGGTGGGCTGACCTAAGCATTCAGATATAAGAGAAGTTTTAGTTTTATAATGAATTTATTTATTTATTTATTTATTTATTTATTTATTTATTTATTTTGAGATGGAGTCTCACTCTGTCACACAGGCAACCTGCACCTTCCAGGTTCAAGTGATTCTCCTGCCTCAGCCTCTTGAGTAGCTGGGATTACAGGTGTATACCACCATGCCTGGATAATTTTTGTATTTTAGTGGAGACTCGGTTTCACCAGGTTGGCCAGGCTGGTCTTGAACTCCTGACTGCAGGTGATCTGCCCACCTCAGCCTCCGAAAATGCTGACTGAGCCACTGGGCCCAGTCTTATAATGAATTCTAAAATCAGCATTCTAGTTTAAACCACAGTCTCCCATAAGTTTAGGGGGGTCAATCAATCACTGAGTCCTGACAGACATACAACTCAGGTTCAGAAACCTACAAAGTTGAGAGTCATTCCATGGGATATGGTGACCACACCAAGGCTCTGCCATCCTTGAAGCCTCACCCAAGAGATCAGCTTTTCCCAGACATCTATTCATCTCTAATCATTGATATTGCCGTGCACTCATTCGAGGAATGTGTATTAAGTGCCTACTGGGTGTCAGGCGCTGTGTTAGAAAGCGCAGCAGCAAAAATGGTTTGCATGATCCTTGCTCTCAAGAAGTTTGCGGTCTATGAACAGTAAGGATACTAATACCTTAAGCAAAAAATATGAACTAGAACCTAAAGAACTGAGTAGGAGTTAGCTATGAAAGTAAATATGAAGGTTTTCCAGGTAGAGAAAAGAGCAGAAATAAAGACTGTGATGTGGAAAAGAGCCGGATGCATGTAGAGAGAAGAAAGAAGTCTGGAGCTTAGTGAGAGGAGAGGAGAGTAGCAAGAGGCCCAGAGACAGTGGGAGAGGCAGGTAGAGGCCATGCCGTGCTGGGCACAACTAGCAGGTCATGTCAGAAATTCTCTACTTTGTTCTAGGTTCAACTGAACACTTTGAAAGGACTTAATCCTTGTAAATCATGTCAGGATATTGTTTGATTGGGACCCGTGATGACCAGCTCCTATCCCATCTACCTACTATTGTTCTGCATTTCTAGCAGATAAACAGAAAATAAAGACAAGGAGGAGGCTATCTCTCTCTCTTGTTCTCAACAAGCAAAGGTTGTCATAAATGGCAGTGCAGTCCCTGTGAACCATATTCAGCCAGCAGTTGAACTGAATGTAAACTTTTTGACTGAATTAGGTGTCCTTAAATAAGCCACCACTCTCCAAGTTGCCCACAGGCTCCAACACTCCCTACTGCCTTGTAGATCACCTGCTGCGGTCCTTCATTTTACCCGCCTTGCTTCCAAAGCCTTTTGAGTTTGCAATCTGTCTTAGTCTGTTTTGTGCTGCTATAACAGAACAGCAGAGACTGGGTAATTTATAATGAACAGAAATTTATTGGCTTACAGTTCTGGAGGCTGGGAAATCCAAGATCAAGAGGCTGGCATCTGGCGAGGGCCTTCTTCCCACATCATAACATGATGAAAGGCAGAAGGGCAAGAGTGTGTGTGTGAGAGAGCAGTGGAAGGGGGCCATACTCATCCTGTTATCAGGAGCCTGCTCTCACAGTAACTCACTCACTCCCATCATGATGGCATCAACCTCATCAGGCCCCACCTCCCAACACTGTTGTCTTAACGATTAAGCTTTCAACACTTGCTTCTTGGAAGAAACACTTAAATTATAGCACAATCTATATTCACATTGTCAGGCTATATGATGTATTCACCTAATTTCACTGAAAGAACCCATGCTGAACAAGGACACAAGAAGAAGTAATTATTAACCTTCCGTGGATCCCAGCATCTTTTGAAAACATGATGAAAATGTTTGAATCTCTCCCCCAGGAGATCATGTGCATGTGTGCAGACACACACACACGCATACACACAAATTTCGGTGACACATTTTTACATAACCTCCGAAAACCATTTAAGAAACCCATTTAAGAAGCACCAGAAACTGGCAACTGAAGCTAGCTGAAAACGAGCATTGAGGCAAGGAGCGGTAGGTGCCATAACATGTTGGTGAATGACAGAGTTTGGATTTGTGTCCTTGACCAAATCTCATGTCAAATTTTAATCCCCAGTGTTGGGGGAGGGACCTGGTGGTAAGTGATTTGATCATGGGGGTAGAATTCCTCCTGGCTGTTCTCATGATCGTGAGTGAGTTCTCACAAGACTTGGCCGTTCAAAAGCATGTGGTGCCTTACCCTTCGCTCTCTCCCTCCTTCTCCAGCCATGGAAGATGTGCTTGTTTCCACTTCACCTTCTGCCATGATTGAAAATTTCCTCAGGCCTCCCCAGCCAGGCTTCCTGTACAGCCTGCACAGCTGTGAGTCAATTACACCTCTTTTCTTTATAAATTACCCAGGCTTGGGTAGTTCTTTATAGCAATGTGAGAACAAACTAATATAGGGAACTTTCTCCATGGATGAGATGAGGGAGAGGCTGTGTCCAGGACCTCCAGCCACGGGTACCATGGCCTTTCTTAAGACCACCTCTTCTTTTATACATGGCCTAACATTTCCCAGAACTCACTTTGAAAACTCTATAAAGAAAGAGAACAGGTACACAATTTGTTATTAGTCCTCATAAAGACCATCAAGAAAGCCTACATACGCTCTAAGTATTTACATTGGCTCTCTAGTCTGAAACACTCAGATTTTATATGTTACTAAATGATGATGGAAAGCTTTTCCAGGTAGAAGAAAAAGCAGCAACAAATCTGAGGATACACCTATTGTTGCTGCTTTTTGCAACCTGCCTTTGGCCCACTTTCAGCCAAGATGGGATTATTGAGGGTTTAATCTTCTCATATTTATTTTCTTTTTCTCATATGTCATTTTATTACCTTTAGCTCTCACTTCTTTTAGAAACAAAATTTAGGCTGGGCGCAGTGGCTCACACCTGTAATCCCAGCACTTTGGGAGGCTGGGGCGGGCAGATCACGAGGTCAGGAGATCGAGACCATCCTGGCTAACACAGTGAAACCCCGTCTCTGCTAAAAATACAAAAAATTCTCCAGGTGTGGTGGCAGGCATCTGTAGTCCCAGCTACTCGGGAGGCTGAGGCAGGAGAATGGAGTGAACCCGGGAGGCAGAGCTTGCAGTGAGCTGAGATCGTGCCACTGCACTCCAGCCTGGGCAACAGAGCGAGACTCCGTCTCAAAAAAAGAAACAAAATTTAAAGAACTTCTGCAGTTTTTCAACAAGTCGTGTAAATGAATTTGTAGTTTTCACAATGCTGCTGAAAATGCGGAAGTGTGTCAAGTGTTAGCTCTTCTGAAATGTTACAACCATAAGTACCAGGATTCCCTATTGAAAATCACCCTTCTGAGAGTCTCAGTGCAACTTGGGCAAAAGACTTTAAATAAGATGTATATAATTCTATGCAAATCACAAAATCCATCCAAAGTAAAATTGTCATCCAACTCAGAACGCTGAAAGAGACACACACGTGTCTGCATGCATGCTTGAATTGGACAGCTATGCAGGCATGATCGACTCCACACTGTCTGAGCAATCTGGAACTTAAATGTCTCTATCTCATTATCACATTTTAAGTCATGATGCTGACAGTTGATGAGACTTTATGCAAAACACGGCTCTATAATAGGACACAGCCTCCATCTAACATACTTCTAGCAGGAAATAACAAGCAAAGAAACCAACCCTAGAAAGCCCACCCAAAATGCTCCTTACAAAGGTAGACATTTCTTTTCCATGACTATTGGGATTTTTTATGGGCAGAAAAATATTGAAACAGACCATCTGTCACTGGAGACTCCACCAGAGAAATACATTTTCAGCAAAATGGTAAGTTTTCAGATATGATTTCAAAGCAGCTTGGCATGAGGCATTGCAGCCAGACGCCTCTTGCAGAGCAGACGGTGGAGTAGAGGACAAAAAGGATATGTCAGCAAGGACTTTGCCGAGGAAAGACTGATGCGCTGCCACCAAGATACAGGACTTAGCATAAATTTAATATGGAAAGCTGGAGAAGCCAGCAACCGTATTTTAAAAGCAGCATTTCAAGGCAAAATAATTAGGAAAGAAGGGGACACATAGCAAAGATGGAGGAAAGCATGAAGCAGCAAAGAAAATGGAGAAGAGAGAGCTGAGGGAGAGAGGCACCAGAGGGCCAATACTCACCTAGGGTTTTCAAACCCTTCATTATTGCAAAGCAAAATAGTTTAGGAATTACCCACATGGTTTGCTACATACTGTACGTACACTTATGCAGGTATTACCTCCCCTGTTCAAGGAAATGGCTGTGTTTATTGAGAGAATAAAACAATCCTGGATAATGCAGAAGGCTCAGCAAGAGAAAGCAACTAAAGCTGATATGCAGAATACAGGCGAGTGGGTTTAAAAATTACTCTACACTGATTTTAGGAGATAAATAATAGTCCTGAAGTTTTTATATATATAGGTCTGGGGATGATGGCTCATGCCTGTAATCCCAACATTTTGGGAGGCTGAAGTGGGAGGGTCTCTTATACCCAGGTGTTCAAGACCAGCCTGGGTAACATAGTGAGACTTCATCCCTTAAAAAATAAAAATAAAAATGTTCATGGTGGTGCACACTTGTAGTCCCAGCTACTTGGGAGGCTAACATCAGAGCTAACTTGAGCCCATGAGTTTGAGGCTGCAGTGAGCTATGATTGTGCCACTACATTCCAGCCTGGGCAACAGAGCAAGACAATGTCTCAAAAAAAAAAAAAAAAAAAAAAAGAGACAGAAGCATTAAGGATGAAATATAAAACCGTTCATAGGCAGCATCAGACCTTTATTTTTGACAGTTAAATTTTATTTTGCCCAATGGTTAAAAAAATCTCATCCTGTGAGTGCATGGGGGTGACAGGATAGACAGCAACCATGCCTTTGAAGTTGTCTATCTCCTGTGAGAAATCCGCCCGCCCAATGCTCACCTGCAGCAGTGGCTGAGAGCAAGGTGACAGGAGCCTAAGCAGTAAAGGGACCCAGCCTGCACAGCCCCCACCCGGAGCACCTGTCCCTGACCACTGGGCAGGGCAGAGCCAGCCTGCGGATCCTACTCTGCCCATCCCGAGGTCTAGGTTGGCTCCACTCACCCAACTCACCCCAAGCACAGAAGGCAGGACTGTGGGCGCTGCTCCAGAGGCTCTTCCCGTTCCCGGTGGAATTCTGTGACCCAGTGACCGTTCAGCTGGAAGGGAAGATAGGACAAACGAAACCCTGCGTTATGAGCACAGAGTAGGTTTCTCTTCTATTCAATCATCCACACAGACACTTGAGCATTTTTTTATATTATAGTCATGAAATACCAATTACATCATACACTGTAAAGAGACAGTGACCATGGACAGCCCTTGCATGTTAAGTGATGATGTGCGGGTGTCACAGAGCCTCCAGCAGCAGCGCCTGGGTCAGAATCCCGCTCTCCTCTTCTCACAATGCCTGGTGAAACATTCCACCCAGAGGGAGCCCAGGCCACTACAAACGGCAGAACTGCATTAGTGGCAGAAAGACAAATGCTTCATTTATATTACTGTCTCAGAGAGAGAGAAGCTACTTTAAATCAACAGACCTTACATCCGAAGTTTATCTTGACTCCTCAAGGATGGCTTCCTTCACTCTCCAGCTTTAGGAAAACAATAAAAACAATTCCTTTTCAAATAAAAAGTAAAGAGACCTCCTTCCCAAGGTGAAAAGCTAAAAAGAAAAGAGAATGAGAGTTTTGTCACTTAAAACACATTCTAATGGTCAGTGATGTATTTTTCAAACATTACCAGAAAATTAAGCGTGAAACCTTACATTGCCATTAAATCACAGCAGAGGATTACATTATTGACACTACCCGGACAGTACATAGCCACAAAATAGCAGTGGGATAAGAAAAGAGAAATTGTCGCCTCGTTGCTTCCCATTGGATGGTTTGTTCAAACTTTCTTCTCCTTCCACAGAGACCTATTCCCCTTCTCCAAAGAGTTTTTTGTCCTATTTCCAAAAGTTCAAAAAATTAAGAGGATTCTCAAAATAAGAGTTCTTTAAGAAATGTTTTTGGGCCACGCACAGTGGCTCATGCCTGTAATCCCAGCACTTTGAGAGGCCAAGGCGGGTGTATCATTTGAGGTCATTAGTTCGAGACAAGCCTGGCCAACACGTTGAAACCCCATCTCCAGTAGAAATACAAAAATTAGCCAGGCGTGATGGCTTGTGCCTGTAATCCCAGCTACTCAGGAGGCTAAAGCACGAGAATTGCTTGAGCCTGGGAGGTAGATGGTGCAGTGAGCTGAAATTGCACCACTGCCCTCCAGCCTGGATGACAGAGTGACACTCTGTCCCAAAAAAAAAAAAAAAAGAATTGTTTTTAAACAAAAAAAACTAATAGGATACTCGTAAGAGTTCTTTAAGCATTGTTTTTAAAAACAAGAGAAGAGTTCATTTTCTTAAGTTTTCTGATACATTTTATAACACATCTTTAATTTCTCATGGCAGTGGTTTAATCCCATCTTCTTCACTCCATGGTTAACCCTTGGAAACCAATGAGAAATGTTCTCCGCATGAATCAAATTTGATCCTTTGAAATAGCAACCACAGCACTGGGGCTTGAGGACTCAGGTCATCAGTTGGGGGGATGTATTTCGTTCTCATTAGGGCCCAGAAGGGATTCAATTAAAAAGGCAGACTCTGGCCAGAGACAGGAGGCTACCATGCAAGCTCATCTCCCACAGAGTCCCATCCTCGCTTCCTTGCTGCTACTCCTCATAGCAGCTCAGCAGGAAACAATGGCAAATTCGAACTCCTATAAAATGAGAGAAGTGTAGAAGAAATTCTGTTTGCAAGGGTGGGGCAGCTGGAGAGTTTTTCTTTCCCATCCCTGGGCCTCAAGGGAAGTGAGAGGGAAGCACACAGACGTGTGCAGCTCACTGATGCTGTAGTAGGGCATTCTCACATTGCTATAAAAAAATATCTGAGACCAGGTCATTTATTTTAAAAAACACGTTTAACTTGCTCACAGTTTTGCAGGCTGTACAAGAAGTATAGTGCTGACATCTGCTTGGCTTCTGGGGACGACTCAGGAAAGTTACAATCATGACAGAAGGTGAAGAGGGAACAGGCACCTCACATGACAAAGGCAGAACAAGAGAGACAGGAGGGAGGTGCCCCATAATTTCAAACGACCAGATCTCGCAAGAACTCACTATCTCAAGGACAGCACCATTCAGTAGAAATACACCCCCGTGATCCAATCACCTCCCACCAGGCTCCACCTCCAACACTGAAGGTTACAGTTCCGCATGAGGTTTGGGCAAGGACACAGACCGGAACCATATCAGATGCCACCCCCAGGGAGTGTGGGAGGAGGGAACACAAGCTCCCTCATCTCACTGTTGCTCCCCTTCTAATTACCTCCTTATTGCTCCTGTAAGAATTTACCAAAATAATTAACGGCTTAAAAAAACACAAATGTCTGTGTTAGTGGCAGAAGGACAAATGTTTCCATTATATTACTGTCTTATATAGAGAGAAGCTACTTGAAATCAACAGGAATTACATCCAAAGTTTGTCTTCACTCCTCAAGGATGGCTTCCTTCACTCTCCAGGTCTAGGAAAACAACAGAAACAATTCTATTTCAAATAAAAAATGAAGCAACTTCCTTCCCAAGGTGAAAAGCTAAAAAGAAAAGAGAACAATATAGTTTTGCCACTTAAAACATGTTCCAGTGGTCTGTGATGTATTTTTCAAACTCTCTTAAAGTTCTGAAGGTCAGAAGCCCAAAATGAGTCTTATGGAGCTAAAATTAGGATGTCACTGGAGCTAGTTCCTCCTGAAGACCTCAGAGAAGAATCTGCATCTTGCTGCTTCCAGCTTCTAGACGTGGCCAGGTCCTCTGGACTCATGGCTGCATCACCCCAATCTCTGCCTCAATCACATCTCCTTCTCTGGCTTTGATCCTCCTGCCTCTGTCTGATAAGGCCACTGGTGATGACATTGGGTCAATCTGGACCAACCAAGACAATCATCCCATCTCAAGCCCCTTAGCCTGATCACTTTTGCAAAATCTTGTGTGCCTATAAGGTCATTATTTGTAGGTTCCAGGGATTAGGACATGGGCGCCACTGAGGGCGTGAGCACTGTTGAGCCTACCCTTCTCTGCTCTCCCGCAGGTACTTCCTATCACCTGAACCCAATCAAGGCCAGAGGGCAAAGGCACCTCTTGATGCAGTCAACAGAGGTCAACCCCCCAGGGCACAATGCACAGTGAAGAAGTGGCAGACATGACTCCATAAGGCACACAGAGGTCACCAGCATGTCTTATATACTCCAGTGTCTTCAGACCTGAAGCTTAAAACTTGTCTGTCTGCTTGTAAATGCAACTTAGCAGACTCAGTACCAGTTAAAGGCAAGCTCCCTCATCAACTGATATGGTTTGGCTGTGTCCCCACCCAAATCTCATCTTGAACTGTAGTTTCCATAATCCCAATGTGCTGTGGGAGGGACCTGGTGGGAGGTAATCGAATCATGGGGGCGGTTATCTCCATGCTGTTCTCATGATAGGGAATGAGTTCTTATGAGTTCTGATGGGTTTATAAGGAGCTTTTCCCCCTTTTGTTTGGCACTACTCCTTGCTGCTGCCACGTGAAGAAGGATGTGACTGGTTCCCCTTCTGCCATGACTGTAAGTTTCCTGAGGCCTCCCCAGCCACGCTGAATCGTAATTCAATGAAACCTCTTTCCTTTATAAATTACCAAGCCTCGGTATGTCTTTATTAGCAGCATGAGAATGGACTAATACACCATGCCCTCAGACTCTTGACCCATCAGAAGTCAACATCCTCAAATCATGAAGTTAGAAAGAAAAGGAGGCTGTGTATTTTGCAATGTAGACCCACATCAAGTGGTTTTCAATTCACTTCTGCTTCAGAGGAAAGAGCAACAAAATTATTTTTGCACACATTTCAAATATATGAAATGCTACATTAATTATAGTTTTTACAGAAATCTCATTGTCATCTTCAGAATCATTACTTTCCTAAAGGTAACATGTGTACTCAGTTGGAATCAGCTAAATTTTTGTTGACAACTTGCAACTCTTCTTGTAAATGAGTGTTGCAGTTTACATTGAAGTCGACATTTGATGTTTAGTACTATATTGTGCATTATCCCTGAATTAAAAAAATAATAATAAATGAATGGTTCAAAGTGTATTCATTGAAATATAGCACAGAACTAGTGATGAGAATAGTAAGCTGAAATGAAAAATTCAAAATTATATATACATTGATATACTGGCCTGTGGAGGTTGACATAGCAAGATACCACAGACTGGGTGGCTTAGGAAAAACAAACTTACTTTCTCATAGTCTTAGAGGCTGCAGGTCCAAAATCAAAGTACCGTCAGGGTTTCCAGTGAGGCCCCTGTATGAGTCTGTTCTCACACCACTAATAAAGACATATCCAAGACTGGGTAATATATAAAGGAAAGAGGTTTAATTGACTCACAGTTCCACATGGCTAGTGAGGCCTCACAATCATGGTGTAAGGCAAAGGAGGAGGAGTAGTCACATGTTACATGGTGGCAGGCAAGAGAGCATGTGCAGGAGAACTGCCCTCCATAAAACCATCAGATCTCATGAGACCCATTCACTGTCATGAGAACAGCAGTATTGGCGTAACTGCCCCCATGATTCAACTACCTCCCACCAGGTCCCACCACCACACGTGGGGACCATGGGAACCACAATTCAAGACAAGATTTGGGTGGGGACAGAGCCAAACCACATCAGTCCCTGTCCTTGGCTTGTAGACAGCTGCCTTCTCTGTGTCCTCACATGGCCTTTCCTGTGTGCTTATATGAAAGAGCGAAAGAGATAGTGATGTCTGTTTATTTTCTTATAAGGACACCAGTCCTATCTGATTAGGGCCCCACATCCGTGACCCCATTAGCTCGAATTACCTCCTTAAAGGTTCTATCTCCAAATAAAATCACATTGGGGATTAGGGCTACAACATATAAATTTGGGGGGGACACAGCCTATAACAATTGTGAGCAGGACTTTCATGGAAGCATATACTTTGAAATTACATGTGTTGGGACAATTCATCCAAAAGTGTGATTTCTTCCACACAGTTGAAAAAGAAAGAAAGATTAAAAAAAAATCCAATAGCAATTATTTGAAAATTGGACTTTAATGGACCAATGTTCCATGTGCTCCTGCGTCCCAGTGGATTGAAAGTTGTGAGATTTTTCTAAAGAGCAGCATAAAGCCATCAAGGCCCTCACATCATTTTCAAAGAAAGTATAGTCATCTCCCTGATAAACCAGGTTTATTTTTCAGGAAGAAAAAGTGCAAAATAATGTTCTCCATCGAAAACTAGTTTTTCGTCTAAAAAAGGCAGAGAAGAAACCAAAATCTAAATACATTTACAGGATTTAAAAGGTACTGTCTAGCGGGAAGAAGTAACCATTTAGAAATCCAGTCTTCTCTATCAAGCACCTATTGTGTTCCAGGCACTGGAAACACAGCTGTGGACGCAATGCAGCCCCAAGTTTGGGGATCTTATTTTCTAGTGGGAAAACATAGTAAACAAGCCAACAAAGTCACTACTGATTGCAATGAATGATGGGGAGCAATTAAACAGGGTGATGGGAATGAGAGTGACCAAGGGGCACCACTTTAGAAAAAGCCTCTCTGGAGGGGTGACATTTGAGGACAGATCTAAAGATGCAAAAGAGCCAGGCATGCAAACAGAACTAAGGAGAGATGAGTGCAAACACACAGGGATGAGCAGGTCCCAGGATGGCTAGTCCAGAAAGGCCAGTGTGGCTGGGGACCCGAGGTGAGGGCTGATCTGGGAAGAGCTTTTCTTTTCTCACTGGAGCAAATGTAATGACATATTATGGAGCATCTTTAGAAGTCACATTCCAACACTATAATCGAACATGGAAAAAGAATACTTTTAGGCCCAAATGCAGCTCAGACATGAATTAGGGATTCACTCCCTGCAACCTTGAAAGCTCAAACATTCAGTGTGCCTCTGAGAGCAATAGATACTCATCGATTTAGTGTCTCAAGTGTCTGAACGTTTTCTTGAGTAAGAAAATGCTCTATAATTTCCGGGGCCATATTTGATAAAATATCCAAAACTGTATTACAGAGCCACCAAACAATTGCTCTCATTCCTGACAACCTATAATTGAGAGTAAAGATTTTTCATTCGATAGAAAGAAAAGAGCCTGGACACTTGCGGAATCTCACCTAGCACTCCAACTTTGCACCTGTGAGCCTGGTAACAGATACTGCAGGGAGAAACTGCAATCATGATCACCCTTTCAATAATAACTTGTTTAAAATAATAAGAAGAAATAAAAACAACTTGTTCAAAATATTATTTTATTTTTGTTACTTAAAAATGGTGGTGATTCTTTCTTGTGAACTTACAGACCTGATAGTTTGGGAAACACCATTCTAAATCTAAGCATGATTTTCAATTAATTAGAAAATACCCTCTTTATTTTTTCCCATCTCATATATGCTAATTGGAGTATCTTCAAGTTATGAGAAATTATGTTTCATATCACACCTTTATCACTTGTCAAAGATCAAACAGCGTTAATGAAGTGAACGATGCCACATTTTTGTAAGGAAACTGATACACTCTATGGTGTCTTAGAGGTGTTTGGTCCAAAAATAAAAGGTCAGAGAAAAAAGAAAAGGCCCTTGAAGAAGAGATTTGATGAGTGTTGAATACAGGTACCACCTTTCAAACCAAACACTTTCACACTTGCAAAAAGTTTCGAAACACACACAGTAGCTACTTGTGCTAACATAAACAGAGTAGCATCTTTTGAAATTTCTGATAAAACACAAACAGAGATGGAGGGATAAGAAGAGAACAATGGCTGTTCACCTACAAATAAAACTAAAGTCAAGACAGACAATGTATAAAGGGCACATTTGCTTTAAGGACTCAAGAGTGTCCCAGAGAACCCAGTGGAAGAGATTCAGCCATGACACAGGAATGCACAGGAACCAGCAGGACTGCTATGTACAGTTGTGGAGATTGTGCACTGCACAAGTGTACCTGGCCAAGGAAGCAACTGGAGCCCAGAAAGTCGTTGGGGAACGACTAAAAACCCACCTACAATCCTTTCTCCAAACCATGCACTCCTGCACGCAGCTATGTTCACTTAAGTTAGCGGATCTCACAGGGAGCAATTTTGCCTTCCAGGAGGCACTTGGCAATACCTGAACACATTTTTGATTGTCACAATTTGATATACATTCTACTGGCACCTAGTGAGTAATGGCCAGGAATGCTACTATAAACATTCTACACAGGACAGCCCACCAAAGCAGAATTATCTGGCCCAAATGTCCACAGTGCTGAGGTGGAGAATCTCCAACTTAAAGATGACATTTTCTAATTCATATCAAGATGCAGCCCAGTGGGAAAGCCATGGACCCATAGGGATGCAGCTGTCCAGTGGGAAAAACTTGTTCTGATTCACACAAAGAGCCTTGTGGGAACCAGGAACTCTAAATCCACTGTCTGGTATCTCAGCCCTGTCTCCTCTGTTTCTCTCTCTCCCTCCCTCTTTCTCTCTCTCCCCCTTTCCCTCCCTTCCTCTCCCTTACCCTCTCCTTCTCTCTTTTTCACTCCCTCTCCCCCTTCTTATCTCTGTCTCTCTCTGTCTCATTCTCTTTCCCTTTCTCTAACTCTCTGTGTCTGCCTTCCCTGACATATCCAGAAATAGGCAGGCATTCATCCCTGATTTGAGAAGATGGAGCCACATTTTACACATGACTCTAGTGACCCTTTCCTCTCTTCCCACTGTGAAAGGTAGAACAGGCTTCAGAGGTCACTTGAGCTGAGCAAAGGAGCCAACATGTACCCACCGGAACACCCTTCATTCCTCGTCCTTCTGTGTCCGGAATTGGTGGGTTCTTGGTCTCACTGACTTCAACAATGAAGCTGCAGACCTTCACGGTGAGTGTTACAGCTCTTAAGATGGCACGTCTGGAGTTTCTTCCTTCTGATGTTCGGATGTGTTAGGAGTTTCTTTCTTCTGGTGGGTTCGTGGTCTCGCTTGCTCAGCAGTGAAGGTGCAGACCTTCGTGGTGAGTATTACAGCTCTTAAGGCGGCGCATCTGGAGTTGTTCGTTCCTCCCGGTGGGTTCGTGGTCTCGCTGGCTTCAGGAGTGAAGCTGCAGACCTTCACGGTGAGTGTTACAGCTCATAAAGGTAGTGTGGACCCTAAGAGTGAGCAGCAGCAAGATTTATTGCAAAGAGCAAAAGAACAAAGCTTCCACATTGTGGAAGGGGACCCGAGCGGGTTGCCACTGCTGGCTTGGGCGGCCTGCTTTTATTCTCTTATCTGGCCCCACCCACATCCTGCTGATTGGTAGAGCTGAGTGGTCTGTTTTGACAGGGCACTGATTGGTGCGTTTACAATCCCTGAGCTAGACACAAAGGTTCTCCAGGTCCCCACCCGATTAGCTAGATACAGAGTGTGGACACAAAGGTTCTCCAAGTCCCCACCCTAGTAGCTAGATACAGAGTGTCCATTGGTGCATTCACAAACCCTGAGCTAGACACAGGATGCTGATTGGTGTGTTTACAAACCTTGAGCTAGATACTGAGTGCCGATTGGTCTATTTACAATCCCTTAGCTAGAAATAAAGGTTCTCCAAGTCCCCACCAGACTTAGGAGCCCAGCTGGCTTCACCCAGTGGATCCCACACGGAGGCTGCAGGTGGAGCTGCCTGCCAGTCCTGCCCCATGCGCCCGCACTCCTCAGCCCTTGGGCGGTTGATGTGACTGGGCGCCCTGGAGCAGGTGGTGGCACTCTCAGGGGAGGCTGGGGCCGCACAGGAGCCCACAGAGGCTGGGGGAGGCTCAGGCATGGCGGGCTGCAGGTCCCGAGCCCTGCCCCGCGTGAAGGCAGCTAAGGCCCGGGGAGGAATTGAGCACAGCAGCTGCTGGCCCAGGTGCTAAGTCCCTCACCGCCTGGGGCCGGTGGGGCCAGCCGGCTGCTCCAAGTGCTGGGTCCGCGGAGCCCACGCCCACCCGGAACTCGCACGGGCCCGCAAGCACCGGGTGCAACCCCTGTTCCCGCCCGCGCCTCTCCCTCCACACCTCCCCACAAGCTGAGGGGGCCAGCTCTGGCCTTGGCCAGCCCAGAAAGGGGCTCCCACAGTGCAGCGGCGGGCTGAAGGGCTCCCCAAGTGCCGCCAAAGTGGGAGCCGAGGCAGAGGAAGCGCCTAGAGCGAGCGAGGGCTGTGAGGGCTGCCAGCACGCTGTCACGTCTCACTTCCACTTATGGAAAAGTTGCTGATCCCCAGTTACATGTTGAGCACTCTGCTGGGGAAGGAGAATCAAAACATGATCCCCACACTCTAGACATGGGAACCTTTGAAGGGACGCTGACATGTAGCCAAATACAGGCACATCATATGGTTGCTGTGATGCTCTTTGTCATAGTCTGAGCAGAGAAAAAGAAGCAGAGAGAAAAGAGAGAAAGAACAAGCTGTAACTGTTTGTTGATAAACAGAATAATCTCTGGAAGGAGACATAACTGATCATTTCCACTGAAAAGACACACATAGTAATATTGAGTGGGCGTAATATCATTTTTCATCTTTTTATGTTGGGAACATAAAACTGGATTAAACTCAGAATCAAGTGTCATAGGACAAAAAGCAATGTTCACATCAAGTTCTTATCTGTATATTGCAACATCTTTGAAATTCTAAAGAAAAATATACTGAGAAAAGTATAAGCAGGAAACATCACACTCTAAGACAAATAAAGTATGCATAATTGTGATTAATTTCAGTTACACTAAAGAGAAAGCACTCAGAGGTACTTAGGCATCGCCATTTCTTTATCATCTGTTTCAAATAAAAGTTTGGCTTTATGTTTATATATAAATGCAAATTATCCATATTTAATGATAGATCTTTACTCTATATGGACATATTATAGAACATCAAGAGTGTTCTAAATATTGCCTATTCATTATGTTTCCTTATACACAATCACCTAACAGCAGCATTGGGAATGACAAGTATGAAGCCTGGAGGGAGAAAAAAAAAAAACATCCGCCCATACTCAGCCACCTGGTGCTCCAGACTGGGTTTCCAGAAAGCCCACTCTGAGCCTATTGATGTGCAGTGTGTTTATTAAGGAGGAAGAGAAGAAAGGAGGCAGAAGTGGGCACAGCAGAAGTTGAACTGGGAGGCAGACCCCAAAAAGCCTTGTTAACTACTGGGAGCTCAGCCCTTGGATGGGCACTGCAGAGCCATCCAGAGTAGGGCCAGAAGCTGGGGGCTCACCCTCCTGCATCCATCAGCCAGGGGCCATCTGAGAGGGCAGAACTGGGGTCAGGTGCCTCTCTGCAGCTGCAGTGACCTCTGAAGGGGCTGAGAGCAGGAGACTGTGCACGGCTGCCCCCAAAACTGCGGCAAGGAGGCCTTTACTGAAGGGATTATTGCAGCGTGCAACACACCTGCCACACCTGGCAATGGACCAACATGCAAACCTGACACCTTTAAAGGACTGAAATCACTGACTGGTGTAATGATGGTGCTTTCATATCCATGTCCTTGTTCATTCAACCAGCATTTATTAAGTATCGACTAAGTGCTGGGTACTGTGTTAGGCACAGTTGTCCATGAGGGAGACTGATTCGGTGGCCATCTTGTCCATACCCTCCTACTGTTTTAGTTCTGGCCACTATCCCCGAAAACTTCAGTGGCTTAAACAACAAATAGTTATTTCTTAAGATTCAGAAGACTGGAAAGTCCTAGATCAGGGTGCTGGCAGATCTGACAGCCACCTTCCCACTGTATCCTTGTGTGGCAGAGAGGGAGGCATGATCTCCTAGCTCCTCTTATAAGGGCACTAATCCCACTCATGAGAGCTGCACCCTCCTGACCTACTCATCTCCCAAAGGCCCCACCTTTTACTACCTCTCCATTGAGGGTTAGAATTTCAACAGATGAAATTTGGGGGGGACGTAAACATACAGTCCATAATACCCGCCCACCTGACCCATACCCAAAGAAATGCCAGTGCTTTCTGCTTAAAATACTCCAGTAGCATGGTTCATATTAAAGCTTAATCAAGATCAAAATATCCAGCTATAAAATTAAAAACTAAATAAGAGTCAGAAGAGGAAATAACAGGGAAAAAGGAATGAAAAAAGTTACTCCTTCACAGGAAAAGATGGTAGAGTGAGGTAAATTGAATGAACAAGACCTTTGCCTTCTGTCATATCTGGGTCCAAATTTCAACTTGTCTATATATAAGCAATGTCACCTAAACTTCTCTTGAGTTTTTCGTTGTGAAATGAATGCCTGCATTGTGTGAGTTTTGGCAGGATTACATAAGATCTGTGCAGAGGAGGGAGACTGGGTCCTGAGCAGTCATGGGGCCACAGTGACCACAGCATCTTCCTCGGATTCATCACCAGCTTCTCCAGCACCATTACCAAAGCACCACTGCAATAGGCCAGGCAGCAGATGCCCTCCTGCAGGTGACATGCAGATGGTAAGTCCGTGTGAGTTACAGCATGTGTTTAGTGACACTGCTTATCGAGGTCCCACAACTATGTTTCTGCTCCATAAAAGATCCTTCTCACTTCCAACATAACCTGAAATTTACTATTATCAAAAAAATGACTGGCTGGGTTTGGGGGCTCACGCATCTAATCCCAGCACTTTGGGAGGCCAAGGTGGGTGGATTACCTGAGGTCAGGAGTTGGAGATCAGCCTGACCAACATGGTGAAACCCCGTCTCTAGTAAAAATACAAAAATTAGCTGGACATGGTGGCAGGCACCTCTAATGCCAGCTACTTGGGAGGCTGAGGCAGGAGAATGGCTTGAACCCGGGAGGCAGAGGTTGCAGTGAGCCAAGATCACGCCATTGCACTCGAGCCTGGGTGACGAGAGCGCAACTCCGTCTAAAAAAAAAAAAAAAAACGACTTGAGGCAGAAGCCACGTCCACCACTGAATCATGAGCAGAAAACCAAGGCAGCAGGGTGAAGCACAGCACCCCTTGCAGAGCGACCCACTGCAGAAACACAGGTCAAACATGGACGGAATTGAGGCCTCCTCGATAAGAAGCATCTAGCACTGTGGCCTTACAGAGTGTATTCAAAGGAGGTGAACCCTCCTTTGAAATCGACTGAGAAAAACACTTGCTTAAAATCCCAACATTGCGATATAGCAACTGCTTGGAAGTTTCTGCCAACTCTATTAAGTGCCTTGAAAACAAGAAGCAGAAGCAGCACAGAGCAGCACAGAAAACAGAAATAAGCCCAGCAGGTTTCAAGGAGGAAGGTAGTATCCTTCCCCATAGATGCCCTTAGTCAACGGCATTGATGTGGAGAGGCTGAATGCAGAGGGAGATACCAGCTTCCCGGCGCGTGGTCATCAGGCTGCTGTGTGCGTGTGGGAGAATGTGTATGTGATTGTTACTCTAAATCCACTTCCCACAGCACAGTTTCAGTCATTTGCTTATATTCCTTATCTCTATGAATATCCAAATTCTTTAAAACCCTCCAGAGTTTTCCAGGGTGAAGTCTAAGCCAAGGACTACAGTTGTGTGTCTTTGTGCTGAGAAGCCAGATAAGAAGAAGCTTGTACCCACTACAGGGATGCTGCCTTCTTTTCGACACCGTTAAAATATTATGTCCCATTTGTCTTCCCAGTCACCACATGGGGAGGCCTCATCATCCCTTCCCACAAGAAGACAAGGTGATGGGGAGGTGGAGCAGCAGCTAAAGGTCCCCAGCTGTGCCGAGCCCGGGTGGCCTCCACCGCTGCCTGGCTCAAAGCCTATTCCCTCCTCATTTTCCCCACCTCTTTGGCTGTGATTTCCTGCTAAGAAAACGTATTCCATGAAAAGTTCTGGTTCATTCAGTGAACCTCTTCACACGGCTCCTGAGAAGCGCGACTGATCATCTCTCCCACGCCAGCAGACTTCCTGTTCCCTGCCTCTCACTGCTGATAGGATGCGCTAAGAATGAGACCCCATGAACTATTTTTTTTTTTTTTTTTTGAGAGGGAGTCTCACTCTGTCTCCCAGGCTGGAGTGAAGTGACATGATCTCAGCTTACTGCAACTTCTGCCTCCTGGGTTCAAGCGATTCTCCTGCCTCAGCTTCCCCAGTAGCTGGGATTATAGGTACCCACCATCATGCCTGGCTAATTTTTGTATTTTTAGTAGAGATAGGGTTTCACTATGTTGGCCAGGCTGGTCTTGAACTCCTGACCTGGAGTGATCTGCCTGCCTCAGCCTTCCAAAGTGCTGGGATTACAGGCATGAGCTACTGCGCCCAGCCCCCATGAACTCTCCACGCCAAAATCCTGGGCCTCAGACAGAATCAGGGGCTTTACAGGACAAAGCCTAGTTATCCATCTGATAAATGATGTTGCAGCCACAAACAACACACGATTTGCTTTTCTGTGCGCAAACCAAAATCTTCGTTTAAACACTGTGTATTAGTTTGTCCTCATCCTGCTATGAAGAAATAGCGAGACTGGGTAATTTACAAAGAAAAGAGGGCTGGGTGCAGTGGCTCATGCCTATAATCCCAGCAGTTTGAGAGGCCGAGGCAGGCAGATCACTTGAGGCCAGGAGTTCGAGACCAGCCTGGCCAACATGGTGAAACTCCAGTCTCTACTAAAAGTACAAAAAGTTAGCGGGGTGTGGCGGTAGGTGTCTGTAATCCCAGCTGCATGGGAGGCTGAGGCAGGAGAATCGCTTGAACCTGGGAGGCAGAGGTTGCAGTAAGCCAAGATGCACCATTGTACTCTGGGCAACAATAGCGAAACTCTGTCTCAAAAAAAAAAGGAGGTTGAATTGACTCACAGTTCTGCATGCATGGCTGGGGAGACCTTGGGAAACTTACACAGGGCAGCAAGAGAGATAATGGGTGCCAAGCGAAGCGGGAGGCCCGGAAAACCATCAGATCTTGTGAGGACTCACTCACTATCACGAGAACAGCATGGAGGAAACCACCCTCATGATTCAATTATCTCTACCTGGTCCTGCTTTTGACACTTGGGGATTATTACAATTCAAGGTGAGATGTGGGTGGGGACACAAAGCCAAATCACATGACACAGATTGCTCCCTGCGCTGATAGAAAGGAAATAGTGATTTCTACAAAAGCCTTAGAGAAACACCTAGGAGAATTCAGCTGTTAAAAGCACAAATTGGGACTCAAAAGAATTTAACAGTTTTACACCCCACCACAACCAAAGAGGTAAAGGTTAATGATGCGAAGAAATTAGGTGTGAGTAGGACATTGTGGTGTCATGGTGTGAAGCCTGAACCACTCTTTAAAAGGGACACAACTCCAGAGCCAGATTTTTTTCAAGTATTGCTCTGCCGTGGAGGAACAGAACGTTAACATAAAATTTCCATTACAAAAGTCCAGGTTTCACTGTGGTTCAGATCCTAGACTTTGAAGACACACAGCTCATTAGGCATTTCAATCATGCTCATCAGTTCCTTGCGTTGAACTCTTCTCAGCACATCAATTTTTTCTCTAATTATATTGATTTTAGCAAATTGCAGTGTCCGTCTGAGCTGATTTTCAAATATGACAGCAAAAGCTTTCAATGAAAGAGAAATACAAATGCATTGTGTAGCACTGAGCTGCATTATCCCCTCAAACTTCACAGAAGAAACACAGGCATTTGAAGGCAAGTAGAAACTGCCTGATGAAATGATGGCATTCTGAAAAATAAACAGCCACTTCAATTCCAGGCAATCATGGTTATATACCTCTTAGGTGATCATTATTTTTCTTGCCTGATAACTAAACTAGGAGCAAATCAAAGATTGAATCCATATTTACAATTTCAACTTTTTTTTCTTTTTTCTCTTTTCTTTTTTTTATTTTGAGATGGAGTCTTGCTCTGTCACCCAGGCTGGAGTGCAGTGGCGCAATCTCAGCTCACTGCAACCTCCACCTCCCTGGTTCAAGCGATTCTCCTCCCTCAGCCTCCCAAGTAGCTGGGATTACATGCATGTACCACCACTCCCAGCTTTTTGTATTTTTAGTAGAGATGGGGTTTCACCAGGTTGGCCAGGCTGGTCTCGAACTCCGGACCTCAAATGATCCACCCAGCTCGGCCTCCCAAAGTGCTGGGATTACAGGTGACCCACGGCGCGCAGCCTACAGTTTCAACTTTATGCCTCAGAGAGTGTTCAGGTGACAAATCTAACAGTAAGTGACATTTTAAAATCAAACTATTGAGGGTTTTCATTGGCCACAGAGACGAGCACCCTATGCTCTCTTCTGAAAATCCAGCTTCCCTTCCCAAAAGCAGAGCACATTTCCGTCTGTGCTGTGCTGCCTCTCCTGAAGACCACATGTGCTCCCAGCACTTTGCTTTAGATGAACTGGAACTCTCTCTCCAGCCAAGACCTCGCTCTTGAGCAGCAGTTCCTGCAGTCAGCATCCCACAGCCACCCCCATGTCATTTGTTCATGCACTCATGTATTCATTTATTTTAAAATATTTAACAAATATTGACTATCAAATATTTGCCTGGCACTGTGCTGGGAGCTTGATGACAAAGTGAACAGAATAAGCATAGTCCCCTGACCTGGGGCACCATGTTTCCTCCCTGGCCCATTTCCATCCATGATACCCGCATTCTCTGGGTCACACCGAGGAGACATTGGGCCTGCACGTTGGCCTCCTCCCTTCCCCATCTGCTGCCTCCACCGTGGGAGCCCGGTGGCCTTTCACGAGGTGAACGCAGCAGCTTCCTTGCAACTTTCCCATTTCTCATCTTCTTCCACTGAACTAATGTCAGACTGAGTGTTGTAAAATGAGGAAATCGTCACAGGTAAGCTGGGGAGGTACATGACCTGGCTCTCCCATTGACTGCCACCTGTACACGATTCCAGGAACCTCTTTGACTCTCCTCCTCCGTGTTGGGTGAAAGTGGGCCATTTTATACCTGGTGGGAGGGGACACGAACACTCCAACAGTCCCCTGAATAAGCCTTGTTTGTCCGGCTCAAGACAGCCGAGGCAGGCCCTCCACTGCAGCGGATGGTCACGCCTGCAGCTAGCAGTCACCTTGCTCCGGCGTCTGCATCTGCCCACAGTGAAGGCAGCGTGACACGGGAGCCAGGCACAACGCCTCGCAGTCCCCGAAATCCACTCTCTACGTCCATCATGGGTCTGTTTGTCCGGCCCCCAGGTATCATCGCAGCTGGGCTGGCTTCTGAGACGACTTGCGGAGTCATCCGTGACCCCATGAGTGACAGGCCTCTGAGACATGCAGCAGCGCGTGGCCTCCTCTCACCGGTTCCACAAAATGAAATCTGGCTTTCTTGGGGAGTAGGGAAGTGCAGCAACTTTCCAATCCCATCCGAGGAGTTAAAATCAAACCTCAAAAGAAAAGTTTCTGCTCGGGTGAGGTGGCTCACACCTGTAGTCCCAGCACTTCCAGAGGCCGAGGCGGGTGGATTGCTTGAGATCAGGAGTTCAAGACTAGCCTGACCAATATGTCGAAACCCCATCTCTACTAAAAATACAAAAATTAGCTGGGTGTGGTGACACGCACCTGTAATCCCAGCTACCTGGGAGGCTGAGGCAGGAGAATCACTTGAAGCCGGGAGGCGGAGGTTGCAGTGAGCCGAGACCACACCATTGCACTCCTGCCTGGGTGACAGAGTCTCAAAAAAAAAAAAAGAAAAGTTTCTGAGTAACCTTACAAGATCATTCTCCCTGTCTCATGAGGAGTGCATCCTATATCATGCCCAATTCTGATTCTTCATCCCATAAGGCTCCTGAGGGTTTCAGCAAGTGCCTGAGTCTGTAATGGTCACACCAGGATCAGCACCCATTAATCTTGGTTCTATGCTGACGTAAAAAGCTGAGGATGTTATTCCTGAGAACTAACCAAGCACTTCAGGATCAGACATGAAAACTCTCCATTTATTTTCTCACACCTCACTTCTGCTTGGACTGGGTATGGAGATACTTCCTCCCAGAGGACAGTGGGCTGTGTATCAGTCAGTACAGGCTAAGTTCGTTCAGGAACAAACAATCCCAAACTCTCAGGGGGCTCAGACAACAAGTCTTGTGTTTTCCTCTGACCACATCCCCATCTAGGGTAGGAATAGGGGCTGAAAGGGCTTTTCTTTCCTGATCCTTGTTTCTAGACCTAGGCTAACGCAGTCCCTGCTTTCTGGAAAATCACGTTTCTGAGTCAGAGGAAAGAGAATAGGAGGAGGTTTACTAACAAGCTTCCTCTAAAAGCAAAGTCACATCTGATTGGTTGAACCCAGTCCCATGCCCACCCCCTACTTCAAAGGTAGGCGAGGAGGGAATTCTACAAAGAGCCAGTGAGGATCGTAAGGTACGATAGTCATTACCGTAACCACCACGGACTTCCGCTGAGCGCCCGTCTCCGCGAAAGTACTGACCCTGGACCCCCAGTTGCCTGGGTCCACCTGTCGAACCAAACACAAGCCTCTTTTAGGTCTCTTTCACTCATCTGAGCAGGACTTGGCTACCCAGAAACGCCACCTAACACCCGCAGCTTCGCCCCATCATCTGTGACTACCTACTGTGCCCGTGAGACTGTCCAGTCTATAGACTGCCGCTCAGAGAAGGTAGGCTAGTAACTAAGATCCCAGACCCTGGAAGGAGAGCCCCTGAGTTTGAATCCTACTTTACCATTTACCAGCTTGCAGACTTAACCTGCAGGCCTCAGCCTTCTCCACTAGGAAGTAGTGTTTGTAACAATACCTGCCTGATTGTGCTGCTATTGCACTGTCTTAAGGGATAAATAAATAAATAGGCCTATACTGAGACCAGCCGGGCTCACAGTAAGCACTATATTACTATAATAATAATATATATTATTAAATTATTATCATTGTTACCAGGTTAGTCCATAATGTTGTTTATTGGCTTTTGTTGAATTAAGCCCCAGAAGCTTGTTCTTTGTAACCCATACTTAAGCAGTGGACAGAAAGGTAATCACCTACTGTCTAGTTCTCCTGAAAATTAGATACAAACCTAGGATAAAACACAAATTTTTTAGCATCTACTATATGCCAACCATGTGGCTTCATTAGAAAGCTCTCTGGAGAAGCTTTATCCTACAGAAATGTGCATCTATTTCCATGGTGCATTTAAAAGCTTCTAACCTTCAATTACATAAAGTAGGATAAATTCAGACAACGTAACGGTCCTATTCGATTCCATTCAAACCTAATGTGCAGAGGCAGATCTAAAGTACAGGGGGCAGAATTTCAGGATAAACCGAGAATTGCATAACAAAATATTCCTTCATTCTAAAGACTATGTAGGCCAACCAAATGTGTACTTTTGTGCAAGAATTTGTTTGGATTATGGCCAATAATTCTACAGTGATGAATTTCTAAATAAATTTAAGATACCAATCTCATCTCGTGTCTTCCTAATAATTACGAAGCCCATCAATATCTTCTACTCTGCAGAGCTTCACTCCAAACTCCAGGAGAAACATCAGTCAAAGATACCGGTATACCCGACCTTTTTAAGGGGGGAAGACAGTGCGAATGTGAGAGGTGTTTCTTCCTCAGAGTAAGAAGCCATCAGAAGTTATGCTTCCACACAGCAGAGCTGTTTAATCGTTCACACTTGGAAAAGACACCGATACATAGGGTGGGCAGGATGGCTGCAGAAACCCCACAGAGCAGGAATTGGGAGCCACAGTCTGAGCTGAAGAAAGGGCAGAAGGCCTGTCTTACTGTTGCTTGCACAATGATATTCGCCCAATATTGAGAAAGTGTCCATTGTTCATATTAAAAATGGGGAAGGGGGTTGATACAGACCGCACCTCCCACCCCAAGCATGCTCCATCTGCCACTGGAAGGATGGGAGCTTCATAAAGCTCTAGAGGACGAGGCAGAGCCTGGGAAACAGACTGCCAGGCCCACCCCACTCAGCAACTTTGATCATGTTTCAAACTTAGAGAAAATTAGCAAAAATATAAGTGTAATATTGTATTGTGTCCCATTCACTTTATCAGTGTCTCTCTCTATTTTTCCCACACCATTCATGAGTAAGTTGGAGACGTCAAGACACTCTATCCCTGAAGATTTCCATGTATTTTCTCAGAACAGGGACGCTGTCTTATATAACCATGGCACAACCATCAAAGTCAGGAAACTGTATACTAATATAAAACTATGACAGGGATGCCCATAGGTCCCTGGTAGAGCTTGAGTCTGTTCAGGGACCATGTCCTGCATAAATGCATATCTGTGTTTGAGGCTGTGCTCCACACACCTAGACCACTGCGAACCAAAGGAGCACTCCAAGGTGGAACACAGATCAAAATCATGTCTCATTTTCCCTTATTCTTATTAATTTGACACAGAAATCCTGTAGCCCACTATCCTCCCACCATTTTCTAAGGTGGCCAGATATTTCCACCATAGAAATTGAGGCTTTTTTTTTTAGGATTAGTCTATAGATAACCCTTTGTGTGGGCTCTCACATGCAGTTTTTTAGCCTCTTACATTTTCTAGACTATGGGTCCTGTCCCTGCATCCCACACTCACGTGCACACCACACATGCACACTCACTCACTCACATGCCTTGTTTCCTTGTGTTCTTTTGTTGACAAGTTTTCTTCTCCCTCTCCTAAAACAATTTCCAAATTTCAGGAAGGGACGTGTCTCCTGATGGTCCCACTTCAGGAGCCAGCATCCCAGCGAACTGATACCAGCTGATAGAGGAGGAAAAAGCCGAGAAGCCAGTTCAGAAAGGCCTGACATCTTCTCCCTCCCGCAGGAGCCACAGACACTCACCACTAGGTTCCCCCTCCCTTCTCAGGGACCCTGCACTTAGGTGCTCACTGAATCCCATTCACCTCAAGGCCCTGAAGAAAACTGCCCAGCAACTCTCCCGTCTCCTCTTGACATAATTTTTTCACTCTCCCAGATTATTCCCATTGGTTTATAATAGTGTTGGGGTTTTCTCCCGTCTTGCAAGGTAAACAAAACAAAACTCATAACCTTTATCCCCTCCAGCTACAACCTCCTCTCTTTTTACTTCACAATAAAACTCCTGAAAAAGAATCATCTGCTCCCTCTGTTTTAAATCTTTCCTGGTCATTCTTAAACCCCTTTCCATCATCATTTCTCTCCCACCACCTCCCTGAGTCTCTCACCATGGTGCTCAATGTCCCATCGCTGCCTAACCTCAGCAGTGTCTTGTCAGTTTTCTCCTGTGTGGCCCCTCAGTAGCTTGGGTGCAGCTGTTCCTCCTTGAAACATCTCTCCTTCTTTCCTCAGCTTAAGGACACGACCCTGCCCTGCTTCTCCTCCAGAGAGCCACCTCCATGTCCAAGCTGGCTTCTCCTCACCACCCTTTTTTTGTTTTGTTTTGTGTTGTTTTTGCTAGCTTGCTTTCCGACGCAGACCACTACCTCTGCCCTGTTCTCTCTAGACCCCATCCCTTCTCACTAATGATTCCCGATGTCTCCCCTGAACTCAAAGCTGGCTGTTCTTGTTGTTGTTTTGAGATAGAATCTCACTCCGTCACCCAGGCTGGAGTGCAGTGACGCAGTCTCAGCTGACCACAACCTCCATCTCCTGGGCTCAAGTGATTCTCCTGCCTCAGCCTCTGCAGTAGCTGAGATTACAGGCATCCGCGACCACACCTGGCTAACTTTTGTATTTTTAGTAGAGATGGGGATTTACCATGTTGGCCAGGGTGGCCTCGAACTCCTGACTTCAGCTGACCTGCCCACCTCAGCCTCTCAAAAGTGCTGGAGTTGCAGGCACAAGCCACCATGCCCAGCTGAACTCACACCTCGTCATCCAACAAACTGCATGGCCTCTCTTGTGGGATATATGACTGGCATCTCAAACTTAACCTGCCCAAAGCTGAAAAGCTATTCCTTTATTGTCCCTGCCAAGCATGCTTCCCTCATAGTCTTTCCTATGCTGTTAATGACAATTGCATTCACTAGAATTGCTCAAACAAAAACAAACAAAATAAAATCCAGAGCCATCTTCAACTTTCTTCATTCTCTCCCACCCAATGCCCATCCTTAGGAAATCCTGTTGGCTCTAGCCTCAAAGCATCTCCAGAATCTGCAGACCACCCCCATCACCATCCCCCATCACCACCCCCATCACCATGCCCTTGCACCACCACACACACAGACACCTGCGCCAGCCCCGCCCTGCTCTGCCTGGGCCCCGACACTCTGTCCCTGGCTCAGCAGGCACCATGATGGCGTCCAAATGTCAGCTTGTCACTCCTCTGCTCAGAATCCTCCCAGGACTTCCACTCTCACCCAGAATTAAAGCCAAAACCCAATCAAAACCCTACCAGGTCCTTCCTAATCTGCAGCCACAACCTGACCTCCTCCTGGCCTGTCTCATCTCCTCTCCATCAGGCTGGCGCCGGGAAGGGGGGAGGGCTCTCCCCAGCCGCCGTGCTCCCATTCTGTGCTCCCTGTGCAGTGAGACCCCATCCAGCCTCCCTCAGACTAAGAGCACTGTGACAAGTCACCACCATTTGTCACTCAAAGCAAAGTGAAGGATATGACTGCAGGGGCTGGGCTTGCGTGTGAGTGTGTATTAACTGAAACTTCCTCCTCAATATCTTTCACACTTTTCTTCTGCCTCCTAAACTTCCAGGAAATAAAAATTAACTATAGGGAATATATTAACCGCTTTTGTTGGTCAAGTCCAGAAAACCTGTCACAGAAAACGTAAGAAAGATAATTAAACACAATTGCATATTCAAAGTTTTATGAGTTAAAATGAATCAGAGGTCAGGTGCAGTGTCTTATGTCTGTAGTCCCAGCACTTTGAGAGGCCAAGGTAGGAGGATCACTTGAGCCTAGGAGTTGGATATCAGCCTGGACAACATGATGAAACTTCATCTCTACAAAAAAAATACAAAAAAATTAGCTAGGCATGATGGCATGCGTTTGTAGTCCCAGTTACTCAGGAGGCTGAGGTGGGAGGATTGCTTGAGTCCTGGAGATGGAGGCTGGAGTGACTGTGATCGTGCCTCTGTACTCTAGCTTGAGTGACAGAGTGAGGCCCTGTCTCAAAAACTACAAATAATAAAAATAAAATGAGTCAGAGAGAACACAAGGCTGGGAAAAGAATATTTCTTGATTTCGTTATGGAGATAGCCTTCCCCGTGTCGCAGAACACCTCTTTCGGGACACTAACACACTTGGCTACTGTCACATTTATTTGATTGCCTTCTAAAGGGCTAACATGTATTATTACCAGGATGTAGGGCCATCCTCACTAATAATATGTTCCCAGTCAAAATAATATGCACACACTGCCAGCACCAGCAAAATTAAGTAGAATCCACCCCATTGGGAGGGATGTTATTGCACTTGGGTTGGCTTCAGAGAGCTGTTTCTAACGTTACATGAGTTAAATATATGTTTATGAATAAGTCATGAACTTGACTTGGAATCCAGAAGCATCCTCACAACCCCTGCGAACAAAGGGAAATCAAATTGTTTGTCCTCCTGTCCACAGCAGCTTCACAGAGACAGCCTGAGCTTTTAATCTTCAGTGGACTCCCTTGACCCCAATTTCGCCTACCAATTATAAAATCACATCATGCATCTCCTTGAAAAGGATACCCCCTTTCAAAGAGGCCAATCTGTGCCAGGAAGGGAAGTTGACCAGAGACTGGGAGAGGCTCATAATTACCTCTTGCAAAACGCTGCAGGAATCCTCTCATCATGCCTGAAGAGGGAAGGTGTAGCGACTGCTCAAAGCCCACACACCTGTGAGCATCGACCATCAGTTAGCAAGGCCTTCTCATATGATTTGAAAATGAGCATTGCTGTAGGAGCACTAAATATGATTAGTTTATTGTGTTTCCTATGATTAAAAGACACTGAGGTAAAAGTATTAATCACCCAAGAAGGTATGCAGTCAAATAGGGGTAAAGGCCGGGCGCGGTGGCTCACGCCCGTAATCCCAGCACTTTGGGAGGCCGAGGCTGGCAGATCACTTGAGGTCAGGAGTTTGAGACTAGCCTGGCCAACATGGCGAAACCCTGTATCTACTAAAAATATAAAAATCAGCTTGGTGGGGTGGTGCACACTAGTAATCCCAGCTACTCGGGCAACTGAGGCAGGAGAATCGCTTGAACCCAGGAGGTAAAGGTTGCAGTGAGCCGAGATCATGCCACCACACTCCAACCTGGGTGACAGAGTGAGACCTTGTCTTGAAAAAAAAAAAAAAACCACCACCAAATAGGGGATAAAGCCAAATAGAAAATACTGGGAAGGAAATAAGCTTTGCTAAGTCCCTGATGCTGAGGCTCTTAATTAATTGCATTCTTTAAAGAAATAAGAAAATAATAAAAATGAGAAAGATGCCAGGAAATCCTCAAAGCGATTCTTGTAGCAATCGGTGCCATATATTAAAACGGTCCTTTTCTTACCTGTTACTCTGTCAGTGAAAGATGTCTGTGATTGGGCAACCAATTGACTCAATATCACAGCATGCTTCTTATACCTAGGGGAGGATTACTTGATCAATCACTCTTAATATATTCCATGTTGATTTTGGGAAAAAAAAATCATTGATATGATTTACTCCACAAGTAGACACTGCTGTTCCTCATATATAAACCCTATTAAAGTTGTAACTGTCTTTCAAAAATATATATAAAACCCATATTGATCATTATAACTGTAGCAGGAGTCAAAATCCCCGAAGTATGTAAGGGTCAGGAAGTTGAAGCAGCTGTAAGAATCAGGCTGAGTGAAAGCAAAGGAATTTGCAGTGACAATGGCAGACAGAAGAGGGCATTGCTTATCTAAAGGAATTCAAATACAAATTAAAAAAAAAAAAAACAGAAAAAAAAGCTACTGTATATGAAAGACAATTATACCTCTATGGATGGATTCAGCCTACCAGCAAACAAATTGTAACTTCTCAGTCAGACTCACTTAAAAGGTAAATTTTTACCCAAAAACCATAGTTTTTGTGTGAGAACAAATATTTCAGCATATGTGGAAAGACAATATGTCCCATTTCTGGATGATGAATAATATGGTAATTGTAAGGATATGTAATATAACATTTATTGCTTAGTTAAAAAAAAGTTCTGCACATGTATCCCAGAACTTAAAGTAAAATTTTAAAAAAGCTTAATATTAGTATTTCAAAAAACAGGAAAAAATCTTCACTAATAAAATTTTACACAATGTCTGAATTATGTGTCTACTACCATTTTATTTGCAAAAGGAAGCTGTTAAGGGTTTTTTTTTTTTTGTCCAAAACAGTGGAATTACTAAGAAAACATAATATTAATAGAAACAAACTAATACATTAAAAAATCTTATTCAAATGAAATAACTTGGCAGGTTGAGCAAGCCGAACCCATGACATTAAAAAGCACTATTTTATTCTTGACTCCCACTATCTCGTTGATCTTTATTCACATGCAGTAATTTTGCCCCTGCCCTGACGAAAACTTCTGCAGGTCCAGCAGCTTTTCTGCTCAGTCAGTCTAGGTCGCTGGAGAGGTCCTTGCTCATGTTGAGTCTAAATGCAGCTCATTCATTGGAATGAACTCATTCCTAAACTCATTCTCATTCCTTAGAATGTTGGGTCCAAGATTTTAATGTTACCCCAAGGGAAAGGGGCCCTAATCTTCCTTCTCATCCTCTCTCTGTCCATTCCACCTGCTGGCCAACAGCACTGCTCCCATCAAGGCTGAAGCTGGGGAGGAGGGAGAGCATCTAACTGAAGGTTTCACACCCTCTGAGCCTGGGGATAGCAGAGCTAATATCCTGGGTGAGTCTGGAAGTTTATAGCTGCCTGTATTAGTCCATTTTCACACTGTTATAAACAACTGCCTGAGACCGGGTAATTAATAAAGGAAAGAGGTTTAATTGACTCACAGTTCCCCATGGCTGGGGAGACCTCAGGAAACTCACAATCATGATGGAAGATGAACGGGAGGCAAGACACCTTCTTCACAAGGTGGCAGGAAGGAGAATGAACACAGGCAGAACAACCACTTATAAAACCATCGGATCTCATGAGAATTCACTCACTAACCCGAGAACAGCATGGGGGAAACCACCCCCCTGATTCAATTGCCTCCACCTGGTCTCTCCCTTGGCACGTGGGGATTATGGGAATTACAATTCAAGATGAGATTTTCGGTGGAGACACAGCCAAAAATATCACTGCCTCTTTCTCATAGTGGTTTTCATAAGCTCTTTGGAGCCTCAGATCATCACTCGACTGGGCACCCAGGGCACCTCATGGTCACCTTTGCCCCCTTCCAAATGAGAGCTCTGTCCCCTCAGGTGGTCCTGGAAAGAGCACTCAGGATAACCCAGTGTAGCCTACATTTGGGGTACAGCAAACATTCATATGCTAGGGCAGTGAGTGCTGATCCCCACACAAAAGGAGGGACCTCATCTCTGCTTTGCCCAGAGCTGAGAAGGGCATTAGCCAGTCTCTTCCACCAGAGTCCGTCTAGAAAAAAGCACATTTCAGAGCTCTCCAAGGGACCTCTGGAAGCCCTCACACCAGGCTCAGGAGGGAGGACAGCTCACTCAGCCCTTCCCCAAGTAAAAAACCTGGTCTCACGGTGCAGTACATTCCTTCCAAATAAGCCCCTCCCTAGATTCCTCTCCCCAAATTCTCTTGACAGGCAGACCCATATATGTCTGACAACCTGGAAATTACCAGCCTCATCCTAAAACTTTCTGCACAAACCGCCCTTTAATGTGCATGTAATTAAAAGTGAGTATAAATATGGCTGCAGAGCTCCTCTGAGCTGCTACTCTGGGCACACTGCCTGTGACATAGCCCTGCTCTGCAAAGAGCAGGCCCTCTGCTGTGCACGGCCACTTCAACACAAGTTACTAACACCACTGGCTTGCCCTTGAATTCTTTTCCTGGATGAAGCCAAGAACCCTCCCGGGCTAATCTCAAGTTTTGGACACTGGAGACACAGAAAGAGAAAGGGTAAGAAGAGGGTAAAGGATGAAAAACTACCTATTAGGTGCAATGTACACTACTCAGGTGATAGGTGCATTTAAATCATAGACTTCACCACTGTACAGTTCATCTATGTAACCAAAACAGCTTGTACCCCTAAGTCCATTGAAATAAAAGACAATTTTAAAATAGTAAAATTAAAAATTGAAAACATTGTACCACTGTGACAGACACTGTGACAGGGAGACACAAATAGCAATCTGTGTCTCCCTAAGCCAAGTAGAACTTTGTTTTCACAAAGTGTAGCCTTTCTCAAAATTAAAGGTTATAGAAGGTCTCAGGTTTAAGGCACTTCTCATATTTCATAAAGAATAATAATAAGATAATCACTTATTGATCTTCACTTTTCTTTAAGCAATGGAGGTCTTGCTCTGTTGCCCAGGTTGGACTCAAATTCCTGGGCTCAAGTGATCCTTCCACTTCAGGCTTCCGAATTGCTGGGACTACAGGCAGTGCCACCACGTCTGGCTTAATCATCACTTATTGACCATCTACAACAATCTTCATGACAATGATACAAGTCATTTATGGTGTCCATTTGTTTTAAGAGAGACTGAGGTTGGCCAAGTTAAGAGAAAGTCATATGACCAATATGTGAATGCAAGTTCCTGATCTTCTACAATGTCTCAATGTCTCTTGACCACAAATAAAAAATTAGAGAAGTTTAAAAAAACAAAATATAGACAAAATTACCAAATTACACACTTTTCTGTTAAAAAAAAAAAAAAGGAAAACATATACTATGAGAATGTGAGGTTAATTTTAGTTACACTTTATAGCATAGCACCACTGGTACATGTTTCCCGTGATACTGCCATGTTCTGTTTATTTTTATTTTAATGTCTCTCATTTTGGCTTGCAGTCAAAATCACTTTCCTTAGCCAACGATTAGTTCACCTTTGCATTTTGGGCCAGTGCTAATGATAAATCCACATAAATCTTGCAAGAAATTGCATATTTCTATATATCAGATTTTCATATGAATTGTTAAGCTTGGCCAAGGTCAATGCAACCCTCTGCAGGACTAAACTTTAGACAGGCTTCTTCCCAATTCCAGACCCCTGACTTCCCTTTCCTTAGAATGTTTACTTTAGAAAACTCATCATTGTAAGTTCTTTCTCTGCCCCTTTGAGACGTAAATTATTTCCCAGCCTCTTGCCAGTTGTGCAACCCAAGACCGTCTTTCTCAAGGATCTGGGAGCTATCTCTTTGAAATTTAGTCATTCAAAAGGATAGGTTTCCTGTTTCCCCATCTATCTGTGTATGTATGCATCCCTTTTTACATCTGTTTGTGCACATATGTATCTCTGTGTGTACACATGTGTCTGTGTGTGCATGTGTATCTGTGTATCTCTGTACATATATGTCAGTGTATTCATGTATGCATCTGTATGAGTGTCTGTATCTGTGTGTGCACAAATGCATGTGTACATATCTCTGTGTATGTATCTCTGAGTGCCTACGTGGCAGGGTAGGAGGCTAACTTTAATAAATGCCAATTAACAAACACAGACAATTAAGCATATCGGCTACCCTCCCCTCCAAAGTCCTCCAGTGCTTCCTGCTAGCTCACCCCAGTGCTGACAAACTCTCCCCCTTGTTTTAAGAGTTTATTTCTATGTCTCTCCCCTATTTTAATAGTCTCTTTCCCCAATTGCAATAAGCTTGAATATAGTCTTCTTTGCTGTTCATTGCAATTTTTTTTGACAAGCTGAGGGAATCAAGATGCCATGAGATTCCTGTAAATAATTGAAGATGGATGTGCCATACTACTGGAGAAACAATAAAAAAAAAAAAAAAAACCACTGCCCACTGGCTTTGCACACATGTAAGATGCAAGTAGTTAAGCTCATTCACTCAAATATGCTGTCCTTCATTAAGTCATTTTTTATAATAAACAACTTCTAAAGCCATCATTATAAACATCAATGCAATTGGGGAACAGACAAGTTCATTTTAAATCTCCATCTAGTTTATCTTCAAGCCATAATGTATGCCAAATAACTTAAGTCATTTTGTTCATAAATCTACACATCACCAGAGGGGAAAACAACTGGCACAGATACATCAGTAGCAGAGAGGAAGAAAAAAAAAGGAAGTATATGAAGTGTAAGTAGAGAAAAGTATCAATAGAAGACGACAACATGATATCAGAAATCCAGCGGGAAATAATCAAATGAAGGGAAGAGGTAAAGATAAGGGGATATAGTAAAGCGTAAAAAAAAAAACAAATAGATCTCCCTTCCCACATCCCCCCAAAAAAATTACTGTTTTACAGACAAAAAAGAAAATCCCAGAGAAAGAATGCGTTGCTGGGTCTTTTACGGAGATAAATAAGAGAATTCCTTCCCTCCAGGATCTTGTAGTTCAAGAATACATTGCTCTATTACATACAGCAAAACAGTAAAAAGAAAAATAAGGGAGAGAGGAGAAATGACAGTCATTCCTCCCAGATGACCAGGGAATTAGGGGTGGGACCAGAACTCCCAGAAATCAGGGATCCTGATTTACTTTTCAGCATTTCACTCCGATCCCTGCCTGCTTCATGCCAACAGAGCTAATTACCGAGCATCATAATTACATTCTTCCTCACTAAGTTTCCCTGACAATTTCAATTAAATAAGGTGTCGTTCCTCTAAATCAAGTTCTTGCTGATCATAAATAAAGCTCTTGGTGATGATAAATAAAACTGTTAATAATCTAGACTCAAAGCGAGGTGCAGTCTCATCCCCCTGTGAATTCACAATCCCTGGAGGGTCCCTGTGAGTCTCATTGCTCTCCCACAAGAGCGTGCTTCTGTGCAGTTGGGTACTGTGGTTTTCCCACTGCCGAACGCATCCCTGGTGCCTTCTGAATGAGTCTACAACTCTTTGGGTTTAGGTTCCATTGTCGTCATTTTTAAATGCATCCATTACTTGCAGATCGCTGAGTCAATGTATAATGAAAAACTCAATTCTATTTAAGGGCTAAACGATAAAATTCGCCAAAAATATGGGTGGAATGATAAGCGGTACAGAAATGAAGAGAGATTGAAAAGAGTCCTAAGAGGTAAAGAAGATTAAAAGCACGGAAGTTTAGCTTAAAGAGATCTACATAACCCAGGCAGTGCCTTGGGAGAGAATTGCCATAGAATACCTGATTTCTTCCATTTCAATGGTACCATCTGGGACCCAAGGCCCATTCTGACCTTCACTGTCATTATGGGGAAAAGGTGAATTCTGTCATTGCTATAGCAACCTTCCTTTTCAGCCTTTCCTCTCATTTTCCTCAATTCATCTTCTGTGAGTTGCTTATCTCCCCTCGTTATCAAGTGACTAGCAACTCTTCAATTATTTTTTAAACCTGAGTTAAAGTCCCAGCTGTATCATGGAGAGTTTTGTCCACATTAGTAAAATAAAATCACTTCCTGTCATAAACCTCTGGCTCGTGGAGATGGGCTTTATTAAATAGCTCATGTTAATTGTGAGTTGACATCCCCTATTGGGTAATGCACGTGTGACCATGTTGGAAGAGAAGAATTTCAGGTGAAAGGCCCATTTATTTAAACAGATCTGTCCTCCACAGTTCTACCAAATAAGCCCCAATTGTGGAGTTTCTACAGATCCTTCCATTTTGTATCTATCATCTCATGAATTTTAAGGGAAAAAAAAAGAGAGGAAAAAGGTGTCCCACTGAGGAGGGGTGGTTCCATTCTCCCACTGATCAGTTATGTAATCTTTGGAGAATCAGTTCAGGAGGCTGCACTTCAGTTTCCCCTTCCATTCAGTGGGCAGAGCAATGGCTCCCCTAGCTGTGTCTCAGGGATGCTGTGACTGTTTAAAGAGATACCGCGTATCAAAATGGTATACCGATGTAAGCTATTATTACATAATTCAGACGTTTTCTACACCCATCACGATTCATTTCAGAGCACTGTTGGCTGTTCTTCAGTGACAGCCATGTGCTGCTTTCGTGAGTATAATTGGGCGGCGAGCCATGCAGCTTCCTGGATTAGTGAGTTTTTGTTTATGAAGTTTCCGATGTTTAGAATTTTTTCTCCATCTTTGCTAATTGGCTTTAAATGCTAGTAAGGAAGAAGCTGCTACTGCCAGTAAATTAAAATTGCCTGCATTTCATTCCTTTCCAAGCCTTGTTTACCCAAGCCAGAATTCATTTTTTGTTCAACATTTTAAAAACCTTTATTATGTTAGGTGGTAAAGCACAGAGAGAGGCATGCTCAATGCTTGAGCTTTGATTTTTTTGCATTCCATGATGTGTATGTGTGTGTGTGTGTGTGTGTACACATGTGTGGGAGGACTGGGTACCATTTTGGATAGCTTTCAGGCCTCTTGACACGACCATAAAGGGAAAGCTTGGGGCTTGTAAAGAACTTTACCAACATCTTCTGAAATTAAACCAACCATTCTGTTGGTTTTTCTGTTTCTACTGATCAGTTTTCTTCTATTGTTACTGCACTTGTTTACTTCGGCTGCCATAAAACAAAATACTATAGACTGGGTGGCTTAAACAACAGTAATTTATCCTATCTCAGCTTTTATATGTATAGTATATTTTCTCCAAGGTTTTATACCAATTTTAGGCATAACTGGCCTTTTCCATTTATGAGTTTTGGGTTCTGAAAAAAGTTACAACCTCTCTAAGCCTTCATTTCCACCTCTCTACAAATGGAGAAAATATTGCTTCTGTGCAGGTTTTATTGTGAGATCAAGGACATAATGTACAAAGCCTGGCACCAGGTAAGTTCTCAGCAAACATGTCTGTGTGGCTAGATCCAATGTCCTGGGCCAATGCTGGACAGGCTCCTTCCCTACATAGCCCTCCAAAGAGAAACAGAACCTGGGACTCAGAGCCCAGGATTTGCCGTATCCCCCCGAGAGTCACTGACTCACAGTAGGGAGGAGCGAATTTATGCTTTCCAGCCTGGGTCTCAGAGACCGTCCTAGAATCTTAATCCTAGCACCCCTCTTAGTCTTTCAGTTAGATAACCCATCTCAATTTAAAGATCTCTACAGGAAAAGAAAATGACAATTCCCTCTCCTCTCTTTTTCACACCCCACCCAGTGCTACACAAGAGCTTTCAAAACTCAAATCTGTGGGTACGAAAACCCTCCTGTTTATTTTTACTAAAAACAAGAGAATCACACACACACACACATGCACACACACACACTTACACACACACTTGCACACACACACATACACACACACAACATCATGGAATGCAAAAAAGGTTTGATATCATGAGAAGATTAACTGAAAAGCAATTATTCTAATCACCAGCTATGGAAAAAGGCATAAAGAATTAATCAGCAGCTACATTTCAAGCTAGAAACAGAGTGAACTATGGTGGAGCTGTTGGGATCACGGGGTCTGAAGTCAAGGTCCCTGGTCTCAAATTCCAGGCCCACCATTTACCAGTGGCAAGGCATGGGTCCAGCTGCTTAACCCCTCTTCCCCAGTTTCCTCAAAATGTGCTGGAAATAAAATAATATATAAAATGCACTTAGAACATCACCTGGTGAGTGGCAAACACTCAATGAACATTAGCTGCTGCACTTACCTTTATGATCACTATCGCATAAACGCCACAAGATGCAGGTGCAGCGATGACTCATGGTGAACGCAGACAGGTGCGAGCACCACACTACGCTGTGGGACGCCCTGAAGGCGAGGAACAGAATGACACAGCTCCATCTCCACAGGACCTGCCAATTTTTAAGCAACCACTGCACATAATCTGAGCTCACATCATAGCCATCCTAAAAGGCGGATAGTTTCATCCCATTTTTGCTCATTAAATGAGTTATTAACCCAAGACTACAAAGCTAGTAAATGATGACGCAGGGATTCAAGCTCAATCCTTTCACTAGAGCTTAGTGAAAAGGTTGAATGACTAAACCACGGTGAAGAGCTAAAGGGAACTTGGACCCTTGCCTCTTACCCACCCTACATGGCATCATCTTGACTGAGTCTCTTCAGAAGAGACTATGGTAGACCAGGTGGCTCCGTTTCAGAAGAGTCCATTATGACTTTATGGTTTCCAACGGAAAGCACATGCAGTTCAATGTAACCACACTCATGAAAGGTACATTCCCTTCATGCCTGGACCCCCGCACCTACCTTTGTGCCTTACTCCCTCCCTTCCTCTATCCTTTCCTTCCTTCCTTCCCTCCTTCATTCCCTCTGTCATTTATCCCTCCCTTCCTTCTTTCCTTCCCTCTCTCTCATTCTCCTTCCTTTCTTTTCCTCCCTCCCATCCTTCTTTCTTCCTCCCTTCTTTCCCATCCTCCTTCCTTTCTGCTTTCCTTCCTTCCTTCTCCTCTCCTTCCTTCCTTCTCCTCCTCATTCCTTCTTTTTCATCACTCCTTGTTTCTCCTTCTGTGAAATGGGTATAATGATATTTTCCTGCCTCTGTATACCAAGGTTTTTATGTGAACTGAACCAATTCCTTCATAAGATATCTTTGCTTACATGATGAAGCTGGTGAGCTTGTTTGTTTTCTCTGTTTTGCTTTGTTTTTCTTCTTAAACTTCTTAACAGCCCCAGACTCCAACTGTGCAAGATGGTGGGAAAGCCTTCAACAGGAATTACTCTGGAGAAGCTAGCAACCTTAGCAACTGCACATCGTTCAAGATCAGCTGTCCAGAAGGCTCTCTGTAGAACAGAATAGCTAAATACATCCCCTGGCCTGCAGCTTTACCTCATAAAAAAAGATGAAAGGCACAATCATTGCTGCTTTTGCCACCTAATAGATAAAAATAGCATTGTATCTGGATTACAGGGAGAAAGAAAGCATCTCCTGGGCAGGTGCCACCCACAATCCTTATTCCTCCCCAGGCTATTCCATTCTAAAGGAGAAAACTAAACATTTCAAAAACCAAACACGGTCTCTTGAGCACAGAGGCCTCAAACAATGTTCTCACTGAAGATGTGTCACCTGAGAAAAGTTTATTTCCAGGGTTGTGACAATCCCTACTAATAAGGAGCTTTGCAGGCAAGAACACGGTGCTGGTCAGAAAGTCCACGTTGCCTGATGCTTGGCGCCTTCACTTGAGTTAACAACACCTCAGATCATCCGCTTGGCTTTTCATGTTTGAATTTCCCCCTAGAAACTGCTTCAGGCACAGAGGGAGAGCTGTGATCGTTTTTATTTTGTTTCATGTCCAACTGTTCCGTAATCCAGCTATGAAAGAATTGTCAGCTTTAGTGGAATCCTTTTCCAAGCTTTTCATAGTCATGGTGAAAGACATCCATTCTGTTGGTTTTTCTGTTCCACTGATCAGTTTTCTTCTATTGTTATTGCATTTGTTTACCTGGGCTGCTGTAAAACAAAATATCAGAGACTGGGTGGCTTAAACAACAGGAACTTATTATCTTGCAGTCCTGGAGGCTGGAAGTCCGAGAACAATGCGTGGGCAGGGTTGGTTTCTCCTAAAGTCTCTCTCCTTGGGTTACAGATGACCATCTCCCAGCTGTGTCCTCATATGGCCCTTTCTCTGTGTACCTGCATCCCCGGTGTCTCTTCCTGTTCTTATAAGGCCACAGTCGTATGAGGTAGGGCCCCTTCCTTTTGACTTCATTTCACCTTAATGATATGGCTTGGCTGTGTCTCCACCCCAATCTCATCTTGAATTGTAGTTCCCATAATTCCCACATGTCATGGGAGGGAGCCAGAGGGAGATCATTGAATCCTGGGGACGGTTGCCCCCATACTGTTCTTGTGGTAGTGAAAAACCATCATGAGGTCTGATGGTTTTATAAATGGGAGCTCCCCTGCACAAGTTATCTTTGCCAGCTGCCTTGTAAGGCATCCCTTTGCTTTTCCTTCATCTTCTGCCATGATAGTGAGGCCTCCCCAGCCATGTGGAACTGTGAGTCAATTAAACTTCTTTCCTTTATAAATTACCCAGTCTTGGCTATGTCTTTATTAACAGGGTGAGAATGGACTGATAACATTTAATGACTTATTTAAAGCCCCTGTCTCCAAATACAGTCACATTAGGCATGAAGGCTTCACATATGAATTTCAGGAGGACACAATTCAGTCTTTAACAGTTATGCAGTGTATTTCATTTCCATATCCCCGAGATGAAACTCTTTGTTCATCTGTGGCTTCTTTGTTCCTCTGCTTTTATTTCCTGGGAAGGAGGCTTACAGGCGAGGTGAGGGCTGATGGGGTATCTTTAGGTGTGCAGGAGTCATTTCTGGGCTGGAAAACATGGTCCTGGATACACAGGTGTTGGTCCTGGGAATGCAGGAGTTCTAGTGACTGGAGCAGATCCATTTTAGAGCCATTGCTCTGTCTTTGAGGAGTTCTCATGCTTCCATGAAAACCACATAAAGATGAAAGAACATTATCAATTTGGACGTTTCAAATGACCAACCTAAATGCTTAATGAGGGAAATGAAATGATCATTAAAAATATAGACAGACTCAGGAGCACATTAACTCAGTTCTTGTAACTAGGGGCAGAGAGCCTTGGATAATTACTGTATGAAATTGGATGAATGGCTGTATGCCTTTAGAAGAGAGTAATATCTACATGCAAGTGAATGTGATGAATATATTACCTACCACAAGTAGGTTAATAAGTGGAAGTGGTAACCCTTGATCCACACATTTTTAGAATCTCTCTATAACTGTAGAAACACTGAGGCTTTTCGTGAGGATTCTGAAATCGTATGCTAAAAACATTTTCAGGGTATTCTGAAGAACAGACAGACAGACAAAAATGAGACAAGCTCTCCATCAGAAGGACAAAGATCTTCTCCGTCTTAGGGAAGGGCCACTAGCTCATGCGGGGCCAGTGCTCCTGCTGTCCTCTCCATCTAACCTCCAGAATCTTCCTCTCCAAGGACTCAGTCCTGGGTTCCTTTAGAGTCCAGCTAAGGCCAAAACTCCCCCATGGAATATCTAGTCCACAATGACCACCTTGTCCTCTGAACGCCTATCTGCCATCCAGACTTGTGATTTTGGTTTTCAAGCTTACTGCTTTGTCTTTCTGTTTAACTATTAGATTTGTCACTGGAAAGGGGCAAAAGCATAGGATTTCAGAGTGGGAAGGGCACAAGGAGACTTTGTAACTGATTTTACACAGAGAAAAATGAGATCATGGCCAGTTGAAGATATTCTGTTACAGAAGGCCAAACAAACTAAGACTAGCCTATGGAAACCTAGGTCAGGCAGCTTCACTGGTAAAGAAGGCAGGTGTGGTGGTTCACACCTGTAATACCAACACTTTGGGAGGCTGAGGAAGCAGGATGCCTTGAGCCCAAGAGTTTGTAGACCAGCCTGAGCAACATAGGGAGAATCTGTCTCTATAAAAAAATTTTTGAAAATTAGCCAGGTGTGGTGGCATGCACCTATACTCCCACCTACTTGGGAGGCCAAGGCAGGAGGATCGCTTGAGCCTGGGAGGCAGAGATTGCAGGAAACAGAGGTCATGCTGCTGTACTCCAGCCTGGGCAACAGAGAGAGACCCTGTCTCAAAAACACAACAACAAAAAATTGAGATCCTGAGAAGCTAGAGAACTTGCTTGAGGACAGCCTACTACGTGGAAATAGAGCCCAGAGAAGTATCCTGTTCTCTTCAGTGGAAGGTCAAAATTCTCCCCCTCCCACACGCATATGAAAGCCAAGTAGCTCCTGCATCCTGCCACATCCCTTATGACCTAACACGCAGCACCCACACGTGGCCAGTCCAGGTGAATGCCTACCTTCCAAACACCAAGACAGGTCAATCAGCAACAAGGACAGGAAGATGAGGCATTCTCTCACTCTCCTAGGAACAGGAACTCTTGGCCTCCCTGTTCTGACCTTAAGTCCTATTTTCATGTACTTTCCAGCTCACCTCTTCATTTGGTCAGAGGTAGCATTTTGCCCTGTATCATCTATATCTTGCTTTGCTAAAATTGCTTCACATCTAATGAAAATATCATCGGCCAGCTTACAACATTTTATTGCATTTGAGATATCGATGGCCAGAGGGAAGTTATTAAGAAGTGAGAGTTATTATCTGGACATGAGCACAGGAATGAGTCATTATCCACTGTGTTTCTTCCAGCAGTTTCATGAGAGATGAGACAAGCTGGTGGCAAGTTTCAGTTAGTCCACATCACACACCTTCTGCTTTGGAAATGTGAGGGTCGAGCAAGCTGGAAAATGTGTTTGTTTCCAGACAGCTTCCCACCAGCTGCCTGGAGACGCAGCCTCTCAGAGGTCTGGTCATGCATCCAATTTATTCTCTCCACGGGGCGAGTCTGTTGATAAAGGTCACAATGAAAGTTACAAGCACGTCAGTGGGAGAGTGCCTGTCCAAACCTCCTACAGAGGGAACAAGGAATAACAACAAACAGCAGGTAGTTTCTTAGAGATCTCTCACCTGCTTCTAAACAACATTCTCTGCCAAGCAGGGGCTGGGTTTTTGCAACTTCTTCTGCTAGGATTCACCCCAGTCCTGCCCATCCGCCCACCCTTTCATTCTCACTCGATCCACCCATGACCTTTCCTTCTTGGTTTTGATGCTGCAGTAATGTCTTCAACACCACGTTAGAATTTCCTTTCCCTCTGACTTCCACTCGGAGTAACTGATTTCGAAACACACATACACACATGCACACATGTACACACACATGCACACACACACACACAAACCCACACATACACAAACACATGCACACACACGTATGAACACATGCACAAACACACATACAAAACACACGCACACACAGATGCACACACACAAATACACAAACCCACACATGCACAAACACACACACACAGAGAAACACACACGCACACACAAACATACACACACAAATGCACACACAAGCACACACAAACATACACACACAAATGCACACACACGCACACACAAACATACACACACAGATGCACACACACGCACACACAAACATACACACACAAATGCACACAAACATGCACACAAACACAGGCAACATGAAAAAGCGGCATGACTTGGAGGTGAAGCTCAGCTCTGCTATTCAGCGTGGAATCGTGATTACCCATCATTGCTGTGCCTTTTATCTTCATCTATAACATGGGACTGGTGACACCAAACTCCTGGGGTTGCCATGAGGATGACGTGGATAATGCACATAAACACTCAGCACCATGGCAGGAACATGAAAGGACTCATAAAACCGTACCTATGATTTTTTTTACAGATACCAAGAAAATACTCCTAACCTCCCTCCCTGTACTTGGCTGTATCATCTCCTATCTGTCAGCAACTGTGCTATTACTAAGAATCATAAAAGTTGTGTACAGTGTCATGCTCCTGTAAGCCCTGAATCAAAAGTATTCTATTAGGGAGAAGTCCCCCATTGTAAGGCAGACCATAGCCATAAATGGTTTAAAAAATTCACTCAGTGCATTGCTGTAAGCAAGAGGGGTCACTATCTATTACACGCTGAGAAGTTCACATCAAGGTATCCACCACAATCCCAGACATCAAAACTCCTACAGTCCAATTGCTAAGACATGAATTAATATTAATACAGGAGATTAATCGGAAGATAATATTAACACACGCTTCTGAAAGGCAGGGCTATGCTGTGCATCTCTAGACACAGACATACATGTTTAAGCAAACCCAACATACACAGAGTGGAGGGTGAATCCGTGGATATAAGCGAAGGGGCAAGAGTAAGCAGTAAAATGAAGGTAAGTCTGACAACAGTTCCAAGAAGGGGCCGATCAGGCAGGAAGAGCAGGGGAGGGACTCATAATGGAAGCTGCGCTGGTGCAGAGAACCGAAGGATGGGAAAGACTCACAGACTGGGAGAGAGGAGGCTAGGCATGTTGGACAGGGAAACAGCATTCCCAGGCTCACAGGTGGAGGAGAGCACCCTGTTCTGAAGGCAGAGGAGGTGCTGAGATGCTCCAGGCCACTTTATGTCACCAGAGCAAACACCACGGTGCCGCTACCATCGTTCTTAGCGCAGTAAATACTGAATGGGATTTTTTAACCATAAAGTCGGGTTCCTCTTAGCTCAGTAAACACTGAATGGAATTTTTTTTTTTTTTTTTTTTTTTTTTTTTTTTTTTTTGAGATGGAGTCTCACTCTGTCACCCAGGCTGGAGCGCTGTGGCGCAATCTTGGCTCACCGCAAGCTCCCCCTCCCGGGTTCATTTCTAACCATAAAGTCGGCTTCCTCTTAGCTCAGTAAACACTGAATGGACTTTTTAAACCATAAAGTCTGCTTCCTCAGATTCACCTGGGGAGGGCTGTAAAAAGTCTGGGGTCCAAGCCCATCCCCGGAGATTCTGATCAGATTGCACTAAGCAGTACCCCAGGTGACTCTAACGAAGCACCTGTTAGCAGGCTGCATCTTAGAATTGGCCATGGTGGAGGTTGGGGCACCAGATGCCCTGGGAACCCTAAAAGGGATGCTGCGTGTGAGATGGCAGTATAAGCCCAGGAGAAGTGGCTGACAGAGGCCAGACATGGCTCGGAGCACACAGCCATGCAGGAGAGAGAGCATTTTGGACAGGCCAGATCCCAGAATGCAGTAGGAATGCTGAGAGTAGCAGGGACAGGAGTGTTTGCATCTGGGTGCCTGGCTGCAGCACGGGATATGGCCCTAAATATGAACCCTTGTGATAAAAATGTCTCACTACTAGTCCACTGGGCATTACATATGCCTCATGTTCAAATCCACCCAGCACTTTTTTTTCTTTTATTTTACTTTAAGTTCTGGGAGACATGTGTTGAACGTGCATAGGTATACATGTGCCATGGTGGTTTGCTGCACCTATCAACACATCATCTAGGTTCTAAGGCCCACAGGCATTAGATATTTGTCCTAATGCTCTCCCTCCCCTTTACCCTATCCCCAGACAGGCCCTGGTGTATGATGTTCCCTTCCTGTGTCCATGTGTTCTGATTATTCAACTCCCACTTATGAGTGAGAACATGTGGTGTTTGGTTTCTATTCCTGTGTTAGTTTGCTGAGGATAATGGTTTCCACCCTCATCCCTGTCCCTGCAAAGGACATGAACTCATTTCTTTTTTATGGCTACATAGTATTCCATAGTATGTATGTGCCACATTTTCTTTATCCAGTCTATCATTGATGGGCATTTAGGTTGCTTCAAAGTCTTTGCTATTGTAAATAGTGCTGCAATAATCATATGTGTGCATGTGTCTTGATAGTAGAATGATTTATAATCCTTTGGGTATATACCCAGTAATCACCCAGCACCTTTCGAAGCCCGCCCACAAACTATTCTCAATTTCTAGTCCAATCTCGGCAATCTACTTGGATGTCTGCGGCTTTGTAGCTGACCATCATCCAAACTCCTGCCTGAGCTCCAGGCAACATTCCTTGCATGGTCTGGCCAGCCTATTATCACAGTGACTAAGAATCCAGATTTGGGTCTCCTAGCTGGAGGACAAAGGACACCCGTGGGCTTTGGCTCTGGGGTGGATGACTGGACAGGACAGGGATGACGGCGGAGTCTCCAAGATGATGCCCAGGGAGCAATCAGAAGGGCTTCAAGGTCAGCAGCCAGGCCCGACATCCACAAGCAGCAGTGGCACGGCTCTTTCAAGAATGTCCCCAGTGAGCAAGGAGAGCTGTGCCCCCGGGCCTGCTCTTCGATGTCAGCCCATCTTCAGAGCCTTGATACCCAACCTTCCCAATATCATCTCAATAATTCTTTCTTCTGCTTAAATACACCAAAGCTCATTTCAGTAGATGACAACTGTGAAGTCCTTGTCAAGCTGTCATTAAACTAGAAACCGGACAGTCTACGTGATTCCAAAAAAGCAATGGACACTTCGATGCCCTTCTTGGCCCACAGGAGATCCCACTATGAGTCAGATCATAAAAACTAAATAACGGTGAAGCCACTTCTACAAAAAATGTGCCTCCTGGAGAGGCTCAGCCTTTGCGAAATGCCTGCAGCCCAGATCTGGAGGCTTCCACAGGCATGTACCACATTATACTACAGGTATTTTAGCCAAATTGCTTTTGATTTTTGAAATGTGCAGATTGCCTTTGTTGCAGGAACTGTTGGCATGAGGATGCATATTTGAGGCTTGTTAAGGACGCTCGTTACACAGGAGAGAGTGATGGAATTGTTCTAGCTGCGCAGGGAAGCACAGAGGCGAATGTGACTATCAGCTCCCGGAGCTTCCGTATCATTTCTTACGTACGGCACAGGACCTGAGGACTCAGGGTCCCCTCCACCTGCTTCTGAAAGAAAAGTCTTCATTTGGCTGTAGTTGAATAACCTCCCCTCGCCGAGACTCTTCTGTATGGCGAGGCTCGAAGCCGTTTCCAATTAACCTTTCCCAAGAATGCATAGGGGCCCAGCCAAGTGGGCCATTTGTGATTCTTTTCTTTAGCTGCTTTTACTGTGACCATCTCAGATAAGAGAAATGAATTGGAGCAATTCTACAGTGAGTCTTAGGATGGATTTTCTGTTACGAATAAAATTTGCTGTCAAGCTACTTTGGCAGCTCTGTTTTCATTAAAGGTCATTCAGAAAGTGGCTCCATGACAGCTACTGCCAGCCCCCTCCAGTCCCCCAGCGACTTCCAGCGCGGTTCACGCAGTGACACCTGGTGGCCAGAAGGTGTCCTTGCAATGAAGAGGCAAGAAAGTGTGTCCATGTATCTGCGTGTCTGTGTATCTGTGTGTCCACGTACATGTGTGTATCTGTATGCCTCTGTGTGTATATCTGTGTGTGCATGTGTGTGTCTGCACATCCATTTGTGTGTGTGTATGTCTAGGTATCTGTGTGCATATGTGTATCTGTACATATACGTCAGTGTGTTCATGTATGTATCTGTGTACCTGTGTGCATGTATGAATGCAGGTATGTATCTGCGTGCATGAGTGTATCTCTCTGTGTGTATGTATACATCTCCGTGTATATCTGTGTGTGCACATAATATATCTGTGTGCACGTGTGTGTGTCTGGGTTTCTGTGTGTGCATATATGTGTATCTGTGTATGTCTGTACATATATGTCTGCATGTTGACGTATATATCTGTGTGTATCTATGTGCACATGTGTGTATCTGTATGACTGTGTATCTGTCTGTGCACACACACATTTGTATGTATCTCTGTGTGAGTATGTATCTCTGTGTGCCAGTGTGTCCATATGTGTGTGTCTGGTTGTATCTGTGCACATGTCTATGTCTGTGGCATCTCGGAGTATGTGTGTGCACATCCATGCATGGAAGGAGGCTCATGGATGCCTGGAGGCTCAGCAGGTAAACGTCCTTTTGACACCCTCCAGTCATTTAACCTGCTTGGCTCTCCATGTCCAGTACTTTTTATTTTCTCTAGTCCCCAGTCTGGGACCCTGCTTTGTGTAGAGTAGATATGGTTAGCTGGCTAGTTTCCCCTTCTCTTCTAAGAAATTATGTGAAGTACTTAGGATAAAGTTTTGTCAAAATATTTCCCATACAAATGTACCACTAGCAGCTTCTACTTTTTTCCCAAACTCTCTTGTCCATAAGCAAAATGACAAATAACCCTCTGTGTCCTGGCCTACAATACAAAAGAGAGAAAACAAAACTTTCCCCCTTAATTTCAGTGGTGGCACACTCTCTGGCTTTTACCCAATTCTTCCACCAACCACCTCTTAGTCCACCACTAGGAATCAGCCCATCAGATTCCATTTCTTAAGCAACACACTGCTTTGCAGGGGGCTGTGGCTGCAGAAACAGAGAATAAGAGGGAACCGGCCTTGCTGCCAAGCCAGGTATTTGAAGTATTTTCTCTCTCTTTCATCAGTGACAGAGGCATTAGCTGTATTTTGCAGGTAAGGAAATCAAGATTAATCAGGTGAGCAGGTAAGCCCCATATATGAGATCTCACCTTGAGCACTGAAGGACAGGACAGAATTGAGAGCTGAGTCAAGAGACACACCAAACATTCAGAGGACAGAGAGATCACTGAGACTCCAGTAGCCAGGGAGTGGGGAAGTTGGAAGCTGAACTCAGAAAGAATCTGGCAAAAGTTACTGAAGGCAAAGAATGAGGAAAGTCCCCTATAAAAGGTGGTGGGACCTCTGTGAGAGACACCCAGCTGTGAATTTGACATGTGAGGGCTCAATAGGACCTGTCTAAACTGTAAACTGTGTATTAGCGAGTAGTGGAAAATAAGTTAAACTAGAGAAGGTCAGATTTTAGAGAGTGACAAAAAATTGGCAGGGGGAATTTACATCAGACGGGTGGAAAATGGAGAGCTATTGAAGGCTACTTACCAGGCTGTCAAATGAAGAAAATCTTTGTAAATATTTTCCCATTCAAGAAAAAAATGAAAACTTCTTACAACCTTAACTTGTTGGCATGGGCCCCCACCAACAGCATGTGTAAATCTATAAGACTCTATGTTAGTGCATCTTATAAGGAACTACATCCATCTGTGGTTACTTGGAACTCATAAATCATTTGATGTCATCCCCACATCAACAAAGCAGGGTAGAAGCAGAGCTCAAACTTGTCTTTATTCCCACAGTAAAAGCCACATACATTCGAGACTCCAACCAATATTTACTGAATGCCTGTTGTTTGCCCAGAACTCATGTAGATTCTGCTGAGATGGCCAAAACAGACATGATTGCTACCCTTAGGAAGCTTACCATCCAGCGAGAGAGAGGCTCAAAACCCACCCCCTAAACGCTAACGATTCATTCTGCACTGCACTATGGAGTAGGAGGGAAACACAACTTGTCCTGGTGAGCAGTCACAGGGGGACTAGGGGCTCACTCGAGGCAAGCGGTCTTAGAATCTTGCAGAGAAGATTCCTACTGAGGCCTGAAGGTGAGAAGGAGCCAGGGATGCAGGGGGCGGGAGAAAGAAAAGTCAAGAGAGAGGTTATTGGCCACAACTTGCTCCTAGCCCACGGGAAACAAAAAAACGGAAATTTGTTTTCTCCATCTTCCAGAACTCAACTCAGACATCCAGTCCTCCAAAACCTCATCCTAACCCTAGAGACAGTTAATTACCATCAACCCTCCTACCAGGAGGTGGTTAATCAAGTGCTTTCCGTGGGTGTATATTTCTTTACCCATCTGTTTCTCTAAGAGATTGTGAGCTTCACTTCATGAGAACAAGACCCTTTCTTCTCCAAAATGGCATCTGGCACCATAAATGTATGATGAATTGAGTTGGATCCAAAGTGCCTGCATGAGGTTTTCATTGCACCACATCAGTTTCACCCATCATAAATGCTTAAGCCCTGCTTCATCAGTTAGGATAAAATAAAATAAAATAAAATAAAATAAAATAAAATAAAATAAAATAAAATAAAATAAAATAATAAAATAAAATAAACAAAACACAATTCTGTGAAAAATCAACTTTATAGGCCAGGTTCACATCTGTAATCCCAGCATTTTGTGAGGCCGAGGTGGGTGGATCACCTAAGGTGAGGAGTTCGAGACCAGCCTGGCCAACACGGTGAAACCCCGTCTCTACTAAATTAGCCGGGTGTGGTAGCAGGCGCCTGTAATCCCAGCTACTCGGAAGGCTGAGGCTTGAACCCAGGAGATGGAGGTTGCAGTGAGCTGAGATGGCGCCACTGCACTCCAGCCTGGGCTACAGACTGAGACTCTGTCTCAAAAAAAAAAAAAAAAGACAGAAAAAGAAAAATCAACTTTACTTCTCTTTCTCTTTTTTAAACAAATTTTACATAGACAGGTGTATGTATTCATGCGGTACATGAGATGTTTTGATACAGACATGAAATGTGAAATCATCAAATCATGGAGAATGGGGTATCCATCCCTTTACGCATTTATCATTTGTGTTACGAACAATCCAATTACACTCTTTTTAGTTATTTTTAAACATACAATTAAGCTATTTTGACTATAGTTACCCTTTTATGCTATCAAATACTAAGTATTACTCATTCTTTCTACTTTTTTGCACCCATTAACTATCCCTGCCTCTCCCCAACTTCCCACTACACTTCCCAGCCTCTGGTACCCATTCTTCTCGTCTCTGTCTCCATGTGCTCAATTGTTTTGATTTTTATGTCCCACAAATAAGTGAGAATATACGATGTTTGTCTTTTTGTGCCTGCCCTATTTCACTTAATATAATGATCTCCAGTTCCATCCACGTTGTTGTAAACGACACAATCTCATTCTTTTTTATGACTGAATAGTACTCCATTGTGTCTAAGTACCACATTTTCTTTCTTCTTTTTAATCTTACTAAATTCCTTGATTGAGGATTCTAAAAACGAGTAATAATATAGATGGTCCCCAACTTACAATGGTTCTGCTTTTGATTTTTCAACTTTATAATGGTGGGAAATCAACACGTATTCCATAGAAACTGTACTTTGAGTTCCATACATCCACGCTGTTTTTCACTTTCAGTATAGTTTTCAATGAATTACAAGAGATATTCAACACTTTATTATTAAACTGACTTAGTGTCAGATAATTTTGCCCAACTGTTGGCTAATGTAAGTATTCTGAGCATGTTGAAGGTAAGCGAGACTATGCTATGATGTTTGGTAGGTTGAGTGTACTAAATGTATTTTGGACTTAAAATATTTCCAACGTGTGATGAGTTTATCAGGACATCACCCCATAATAGATCAAGTAGCGTCTCCAATGTGCAGCCTGTTTGGAGCACATTTGGAGAAACTGCAGAGGTAGGCTAGGAAAGGTAGGGAAGTCTAAGCTAGAAATAGTCATTTGGAGTAATGCAAAATCAAGTAATTATACAAAAAAGGTTCAAGGGTTTGGAGCAAAATCTATGTGTGTTTATTCATTTGTTTTTTTTAATGGTCTCAAAAAGAAGATACAATCAGGGGTAGGGTATCTCCTAAGTGTGCAAAGACACCCTCCGGGAGAAGAGAATCTACATGTGATGGGAGTGCCAGGGTGGCTCCCTTCTACTTCCTCACCTGCTGTCCAAGAATGAAATACCCAAGTACTCATCAGCCTTATTCAGCTGATTTAACTTGGAGTGAACAAACCAAAGCCATTCCTGTGACAGCTGTTCATGAGAAGGAGCAGAGAAGCCAGTTACTATGGAGGGAAATGCCCTTACTTTGAGTTCTACTACAGGTGGAGAAGTTAAAAGTCATCCTCGGCTGGTCACAGTGGGCTCACGCCTGAAATGCCAGCATTTTGAGAGGCCAAGACCAGTGGATCACCTGAGGTCAGGAGTTCAAGACCAGCCTGACCAACATGGAGAAACCCCGTCTCTGCTAAAAATACAAAATTAGCCAGGCAAGGTGGCACATGCCTGTAATTCCAGCTACTCAGGAGGCTGAGGCAGGATAATCACTTGAACCTGGGAGGCAGAGATTGCGGTGAGCTGAGATCACGCCACTGCACTTCAGCCTGGGTGATAAGAGCAAAACTCCATCTTAAAAAAAAAAAAAAAGTCATCCTTAAAATTAGGTCTTTATTGAAACTGAAAACTGATAGGCATCCATCATGAAGTTTCCAAATAGAACCACTGTGAGAATTTCCTTCCTTGCGCTGAAGGCAGTCTCCTCTGTTACTTAATGCTTATACTTGGCTGGTTTAACCACGAGACTCATTCTTGAAAAGAAAAATAATAACAATTGAAGCACACTAACCAAATGTCCATTAGGTTTGTGTGATGGTTAATATTTGGTGTCGACTTGACTGGATTGAGGGCTGCCTGACAGCTAGTAAAGCACTGTTTCTGGGTGTCAATGCAGAAGTTTCCAGACGACATTTCCAGAGGAAGACCTGCCCTCAGTGTGGGTGGTCACCAGCCCATCAGTTGGGACCCAACTGGAGCAACAGACAGGCAGAAGAAGGGGGGATTCACTCTGCTTTCCTTCTTCCAGAGGAAGAACCTTTTTCTCTTGCCCTTGGACATCAGACTCAAGGCTTTTCAGCTTTTGAACTCTGGAACTTGCACCAGACACCAAGATGGGGGCTCTTGGGCCTGGCTGGGGGCTTTACTCATGACTTCCCTAGTACACAGGTTTTGGGCTTGACCTCAGCCAGGCTATCGGCTTCTCTGATTCTGCAGTTTGCAAGTGGCCTATGGTGGGACTTCGCCTCTGATGGCATCGGCCAGGTCCCCTAATACATCTCCTTTTGTTGATCATACTGGCTCTGTCTCTCTGGAGAAACCTAACACAGTTTGATGACAGCTGAAGCCTGCTTTCCTAACACAAAGCAGGTTCTAATATTTCACAGGCACTCAGTAGGAATGTGTAGGATGAATGAATGAATTAATCAATGGACAAACGCCTGATGCAAATGCTGAGACCCTAGTGGCACCAAAGCTTTAATGAAAATTGGTTAGGAAACAAAAGCTGTTTCTTGACAGCAGCACTTGAAAAACTCTGCAGGTAAAAAATGAACTAACTAACCTTCATAACTAAGCCATAGCCCAACCCGCACAGGGCAGACCTGCCCCAGTTCCAGCTTCTGCCCTGAGCCCAGGCCCCAAGCTGCGGACTGACAGCTCCTGACCACATCCCTCCAGCCCAGGCTTCCCACTGTTGCTAATCTCCAGGCCGCCCATGGCTCCATGAGCTTTCTTAGCCTTTTCATCAGCTTTGTAACAAATTCCCTACATGAAATTTACATTGTTCCCAGAAATGGCACAACCAAGCATAGTCAACTATCAATTTTCCTAAGGCACTCATCTGCCCCACAGTTTATCTGCAGAAAATCTTGCTTTCAAATTCTTAGGAACCTAATTAAGCAAAATAGAAAAGAAAGATCTTTGTTGAGACCACCCACGATCTTGTGTTTGCATTTTCTGCTCCATGTATTCTTTAGTCCAACAAGTGATCTTTCAAACCAAAACACTTAATTACCTAATTATTTCCTCAAAACCTGGAGATACATGTATTAGAAATCCAGTGGAAAGAGAGAAGAGGATGGGGGTAACCTCTATAGAGCCCACGGTTCTGCCGCCATCTGAGAGCTGATATTATTTCCCGGATTTTAGAAGCCAGAAAAAGTTTAAACTGATAAAAACGTTAAATAAATTAGACAACTCTCATCTTCTTTTGAGTCAGATATTCATAATGTAGTTCATCATTTTTTAAGATTATGTGCCAACCCATAGTAGAAATGTTAATAAAAGCAGAAAGAACAGTGTTCAAAAAGTCCTCCTAGGCCTTGGTTATTTTGATTAGCTAGATAGTGCCTTCATAATTTTAACACCTATAATTCACTGAATTGATGATTATTTACATTTATTTCTAGTAAGAAACTACTACGTGAAAGCCCTGAGTTAATAAAATAAACCCTAATTTGTTATTTATCTGCAGATTCAAAATATTTAGATGTTCTAACATGAGGAACAGAGGGCTAGTTATATAACCCTGAATGGGGAAGAGACCTTTCTCTGGGAAGTCAGCCCCCTTAGACCTACAACTTCTCGAGATATGGCCATGAAGAGCCAAGGGGAAGAAGAGCTCTCACCCCATCTGCACTCATAGCTGGATAAACGCTGACAATCAATAAATGGCAGATGTCTTATGAGATTATACTCAGGTTACTAGTCAGATAAAACTGGAGACAAGACCAATTCTCCTGTGCCATCTTCCTCTATGGAGTGGTACACCAGTCAAGGGCCAAGTGAGTCACTGAAGACAGGGGTTGTCTGTCTGTTTAGGGAGCTTCAAACAAAGACTCCAACAGTTTTATGGACCTATAGTCAGGGGTAGGATTCAGAGTGGAAAGCACCAAGAACTGAGTAGCAACAGGGAAGGATGTCCTCAGTGATTCCTCCTCCAGCCTCCAGTGAGGGGCAGGAGCCTAAGGAAGTCAAATTGTCCCTGTTTGCAGATAAGATGACTGTATATTTAGAAAACCCCATTGTCTCAGCTCAACATCTCCTTAAGCTGATAAGCAACTTCAGCAAAGTCTCAGGATACAAAATCAATGTACAAAAATCACAAGCATTCCTATACATCAATAACAGACAAACAGAGAGCCAAATCATGAGTGAATTCCCATTCACAACTGCTTCAAAGAAAATAAAATACCTAGGAATCCAATTTACAAGGGATGTGAAGGACCTCTTCAAGGAGAACTACAAACCACTGCCCAGTGAGATAAAAGAGGACACAAACAAATGGAAGAGCATTCCATGCTCACGGATAGGAAGAATAAATATCACAAAAATGGCTATACTGCCCAAGGTAATTTAATGAGCACATGTTTAATAAGCATCTATTCCAACTAGGTCCTAGAGAAGTACAAGATTAAGAATTCAATATAGCCTGTAATCTCAGCACTTTGGGAGGCCAAGGTGGTTGGATCTCTTGAGCCCAGGAGTTGGAGACCAGCATGGACAACAGAGTGGACCCCAGCTCTACAAAAATTACCACAATTAGGCTGGTGTGGTGGCATGTGCCTCTGGTCCTAGATACTTAGGAGGCTGTGGTGGAAGGATCAATTGAGGCCAGGAGGTGGAGGGTGCAGTGAGCCCAGATTGCACTACTGCAGTCCAGTCTGGGCAACAGAGTGGGGCCTTGTCTCAAAAAAAAAAAAAAAAAAAAAAAAAAAAAAAAAAAAAAAAAGAATTCAAGATAAATTTTAAAAACTATACTAGTTAGGAAGAAAAGCATGTGGACAAGTGTTACCATCGATATATGTTCAATGTCGTAAGGGGGTACATAGGACCAGTGATATCTGCCATCTGAAAAGTCACGGGATAGTTCTCAAAGAGATACTTTAACTGGGTCTAATAAAATAATTGAGATATCAAATGCACATAAAACATTAGTGTGTGTGTGTGTGTGTGTGTGTGTGTGGTCTCTACTAGTGAGAGGTCCTGTGGTGGTAAGGAGCTTGGACCATAAAGCAGGTGGCCTGTACTCTAGTTCGCACTCTGTACATCTACTCCAGGTCCCCAGGCACATCACGTCCCCTCTCTGGATCTCTGTGCTGCAATAAACCATCAGGTGCATTTTATGTCTAAATAGTATGACTCACATGCTTCAATCTGACTTTGTTCTCCCCATCCCATCATCATCATTGCCCCTCTCAGGCCCTCCAGAACACCTGGCTGATTCTGGACAAGAATGAGAACAAGTATTAAACCACTGCACAGGAGGGTGACCAACCCCATTGCACCATATCCTCTAAGCCAGGACATTTGGTCAACTGACCAGACTGATCCCCGTCCTGGAGATGGCATGGTCAATGGCCATCGCTGCCCATACCTAGAGAGCACAGTCAGCAGAGGAAGGGGGATGGCTGCAAGTCATAGCCTTGTCCCTGTCCTCTACAGCTGGCAGGCACTTCAAGCGGGATCCGAGTGTGGCTAGAGTCTTCCATAAAACACCCACTTCATTGAAATCAGCAGCAGCTCTGTGTGGTGACCCTGGAGTTGCCTATCACCTCTTCCCCATAGGAAATGTCCATGTGTTTTCTTGCATCTCTTCTACCTCTACTCCTCAGTCTCTCTTTGTCTAATAGTTCCAATCTCTGTCTTTTTTTTTATTATACTTTAAGTTTTAGGGTACATGTGCACAATGTGCAGGTTTGTTACATATGTATACATGTGCCATGTTGGTGTGCTGCACCCATTAACTTGTCATTTAGCATTAGGTATATCTCCTAATGCTATCCCTCCCCCATCCCCCCACCCCACAACAGACCCCAGAGTGTGATGTTCCCCTTCTTGTGTCCATGTGTTCTCATTGTTCAATTCCCACCTATGAGTGAGAACATGTGGTGTTTGGTTTTTTGTCCTTGCGTTAGTTTGCTGAGAATGATGGTTTCCAGTTTCATCCATGTCCCTACAAAGGACATGAACTCTTCATTTTTTATGGCTGCATAGTATTCTATGGTGTATATGTGCCGCATTATCTTAATCCAGTCTATCATTGTTGGACATTTGGGTTGGTTCCAAGTCTTTCCTATTGTGAATAGTGACGCAATAAACATACGTGTGCATGTGTCTTTATAGCAGCATGATTTATAGTCCTTCGGGTATATACCCAGTAATGGGATGGCTGGGTCAAGTGGTATTTCTAGTTCTAGATCCCTGAGGAATCGCCACACTGACTTCAACAATGGTTGAACTAGTTTACAGTCCCACCAACAGTGTAAAAGTGTTCCTATTTCTCCACATCCTCTCCAGCACCTGTTGTTTCCTGACTTTTTAATGATTGCCATTCTAACTGGTGTGAAATGGTATCTCATTGTGGTTTTGATTTGCATTTCTCTGATGGCCAGTGATGATGAGCATTTTTTCATGTGTCTGTTGGCTGCCTAAATGTCTTCTTTTGAGAAGTGTCTGTTCATATCCTTTGCCCACTTTTTGATGGGGTTGTTTGTTTTTTTCTTGTAAATTTGTTTGAGTTCATTGTAGATTCTGGATATTAGCCCTTTGTCAGATGAGTAGGTTGCAAAAATTTTCTCCCATTTTGTAGGTTGCCTGTTCACTCTGATGGTAGTTTCTTTTGCTGTGCAGAAGATCTTTAGTTTAATTAGATCCCATTTGTCAATTTTGGCTTCTGTTGCCATTGCTTGTGGTGTTTTAGACATGAAGTCCTTGCCCATGCCTATGTCCTGAATGGTATTGCCTAGGTTTCTTCTAGGGTTTTTATGGTTTTAGGTCTAACATGTAAGTCTTTAATCCATCTTGAATTAATTTTTGTATAAGGTGTAAGGAAGGGATCCAGTTTCAGCTTTCTACATATGGCTAGCCAGTTTTCCCAGCACCATTTATTAAGTAGGGAATCCTTTCCCCATTGCTTGTTTTTGTCAGGTTTGTCAAAGATCAGATGGTGTAGATATGTGGCATTATTTCTGAGGGCTCTGTTCTGTTCCATTGGTCTATATCTCTGTTTTAGTACCAGTACCATACTGTTTTGGTTACTGCAGCCTTGTAGTACAGTTTGAAGTCAGGTAGTGTGATGCCTCCAGCTTTATTCTTTTGTCTTAGGATTGACTTGGCGACACAGGCTCTTTTTTGGTTCCATATGAACTTTAAAGTAGTTTTTTCTAATTCTGTGAAGAAAGTCATTGGTAGCTTGATGGGGATGGCATTGAATCTATAAATTACCTTGGGCAGTATGGCCACTTTCAGGATATTGATTCTTCCTACCCATGAGCATGGAATGTTCTTCCATTTGTTTGTATCCTCTTTTATTTCATCGAGCAGTGGTTTGTAGTTCTCCTTGAACAGGTCCTTCACTTTCATTGTAAGTTGGATTCCTAGGTATTTTATTCTCTTTGAAGCAATTGAGAATGGGAGTTCACTCATGATTTGGCTCTCTGTTTGTCTGTTATTGGTGTATAAGAATGCTTGATTTTTGTACATTGATTTTGTATCCTGAGAATTTGCTGAAGTTGCTTATCAGCTTAAGGAGATTTTGGGCTGAGACGATGGGGTTTTCTACATGTATAATCATCTCATCTGCAAACAGGGACAATTTGACTTCCTCTTTTCCTAATTGAATACGCTTTATTTCCACCTCCTGCCTAATTGCCCTGGCCAGAACTTCCAACACTATGTTCAATAGGAGTGGTGAGAGAGGGCATCCCTGTCCTGTACCAGTTTTCAAAGGGAATGCTCCCAGTTTTTGTCCATTCAGTATGATATTGGCTGTGGGTTTGTCATAGATAGCTCTTATTATTTTGAGATACGTCCCATCAATACCTAATTTATTGAGAGTCTTTAGCATGAAGGGTTGTTGAATTTTGTCAAAGGCCTTTTCTGCATCTATTGAGATAATCATGTGGTTTTTGTCTTTAGTTCTGTTTATATGCTGGATTACATTTATTGATTTGCATATGTTGAACCAGCCTTGCATCCCAGGGATGAAGCCCACTTGATCATGGTGAATAAGCTTTTTGATGTGCTGCTGGATTCGGTTTGCCAGTATTTTATTGAGGATTTTTGCATCAATGTTCATCAAGGATATTGGTCTAAAATTCTCTTTTTTGGTTGTGTCTCTGCTAGGCTTTGGTATCAGGATGATGCTAGCCTCATAAAATGAGTTAGGGAGGATTCCCTCTTTTTCTATTGATTGGAATAGTTTCAGAAGGAATGGTACCAGTTCCTCCTTGTACCTCTGGTGGAATTTGGCTGTGAATCCGTCTGGTTCTGGACTTTTTTTTGGTTGGTAAGCTATTGATTATTGCCACATTTGAGAACCTGTTATTGATCTATTCAGAGATTCAACTTCTTCCTGGTTTAGTCTTGGGAGGGTGTATGGGTCAAGGAATTTATCCATTTCTTCTAGATTTTCTAGTTTATTTGTGTAGAGGTGTTTGTAGTATTCTCTGATGGTAGTTTGTATTTCTATGGGACTGGTGGTGATATCCCCTTTATCATTTCTTATTGTGTCTATCTGATTCTTCTCTCTTTTCTTCTTTATTAGTCTTGCTAGCGGTCTATCAATTTTGTTGATCTTTTCAAAAAACCAGCTCCTGGATTCATTAATTTTTTGAGGGGTTTTTTGTGTCTGTATTTCCTTCAGTTCTGCTCTGATTTTAGTTATTTCTTGCCTCCTGCTAGCTTTTGAATGTGTTTGCTCTTGCTTTTCTAGTTCTTTTAATTGTGACATTAGGGTGTCGATTTTGGATCTTTCCTGCTTTCTCTTGTGGGCATTTAGTGCTATAAATTTCCCTCTACACACTGCTTTGAATGTGTCCCAGAGATTCTGGTATGTTGTGTCTTTGCTCGTTGGTTTCAAAGAACATCTTTATTTCTGCCTTCATTTCGTTATGTACCCAGTAGTCATTCAGGAGCAGGTTGTTCAGTTTCCATGTAGTTGAGCGGTTTTGAGTGAGTTTCTTAGTCCTGAGTTCTAGTTTGATTACACTGTGGTCTGAGAGACAGTTTGTTATAATTTCTGTTCTCTTACATTTGCTAAGGAGTGCTTTACTTCCAACTGTGTGGTCAATTTTGGAATAGGTGTGGTGTGGTGCTGAAAACAATGTATATTCTGTTGATTTGGGGTGGAGAGTTCTGTAGATGTCTATTAGGTCCGCTTGGTGCAGAGCTGAGTTCAATTCCTGGGTATCCTTGTTAACTTTCTGTCTCGTTGATCTGTCTAATGTTGACAGTGGGGTGTTAAAGTCCCCCATTATTATTGTGTGGGAGTCTAAGTCTCTTTGTAGGTCACTAAGGACTTGCTTTATGAATCTTGGTGCTCCTGTATTGGATGCATATATATTTAGGATAGTTAGCTCTTCTTGTCGAATTGATCCCTTTACCATTATGTAATGGCCTTGTTTGTCTCTTTTGATCTTTGTTGGCTTAAAGTCTGTTTTATCAGAGACTAGGATTGCAACCCCTGCCTTTTTTTATTTTCTATTTGCTTGGTAGATCTTCCTCCATCCCTTTATTTTGAGCCTATGTGTGTCTCTGCACATGAGATGGGTTTCCTGAATACAGCACACCGATGGTTCTTGACTCTTTATCCAATTTGCCAGTCTGTGTCTTTTAATTGGAGCATTTAGCCCATTTACATTTAAAGTTAATATTGTTATGTGTGAATTTGGTCCTGTCATTATGATGTTAGCTGGTTATTTTGCTCGTCAGTTGATGCAGTTTTCTTCCTAGCCTTGATGGTCTTTACATTTTGGCATGTGATTGCTGTGGCTGGTACCAGTTGTTCCTTTCCATGTTTAGTGTTTCCTTCAGGAGCTCTTTTAGGGCAGGCCTGGTGGTGACAAAATCTCTCAGCATTTGCTTGTCTGTAAAGCATTTTATTTCTCCTTCACTTATGAAGCTTAGTTTGGCTGGATATGAAATTCTGGGTTGAAAATTCTTTTCTTTAAGAATGTTGAATATTGTCCCCCAATGTCTCCTGGCTGGTAGAGTTTCTGCTGAGAGATCCGCTGTTACTCTGATGGGCTTCCCTTTGTGGGCAACCCAACCTTTCTCTCTGGCTGCCCTTAACATTTTTTCTTTCATTTCAACTTTGGTGAAACTGACAATTATGTGTCTTGGAGTTGCTCTTCTCGAGGAGTAGCTTTGTGGCGTTCTCTGTATTTCCTGAATCTGAATGTTTGCCTGCCTTGCTAGATTGGGGAAGTTCTCCTGGATAATATCCTACAGAGTGTTTTCCAACTTGGTTCCATTCTCTCCGTCACTTTCAGGTACACCAATCAGACATAGAATTGGTCTTTTCACATAGTCCCATATTTCTTGGAGGCTTTGTTCATTTCTTTTTATTCTTTTTTCTCTAAACTTCCCTTCTCACTTCATTTCATTCATTTCATCTTCCATCACTGACACCCTTTCTTCCAGTTGATCGCATCAGCTCCTCAGGCTTCTGCATTCTTCACATAGTTCTCCAGCCTTGGCTTTCAGCTCCATCAGCTCCTTTAAGGACTTCTCTGCCTTGGTTATTCTAGTTATCCATTTGTCTAATTTTTTTTCAAGTTTTTAACTTCTTTGCCATTGGTTTTAATTTCCTCCTGTAGCTCAGAGTAGTTTGATCATCTGAAGCCTTCTTCTCTCAGCTCGTCAAAGCCATTCTCCATCCAGCTTTGTTCCATTGCTGGTGAGGAGCTGTGTTCCTTTGGAGGAGGAGAAGCGCTCTGCTTTTTAGAGTTTCCAGTTTCTCTGCTCTGTTTTTTCCCCATCTTTGTGGCTTTATCTACCTTTGGTCTTTCATGATGGTGACGTACAGAAGGGTGTTTGGTGTGGATGTCCTTTCTGTTTGTTAGCTTTCCTTCTAACAGAGAGGACCCTCAGCTGCCGGTCTGTTGGAGTTTGCTAGAGGTCCACTCCAGACCATTTGTCTGGGTATCAGCAGCGGTGGCTGCAGAACAGCGGTGGCTGTAGAACAGCGGATCTTGGTGAACCGCAAATGCTGCTGCCTGATCGTTCCTCTGGAAGTTTTGTCTCAGAGGAGTACTCGGCCGTGTGAGGTGTCAGTCTGCCCCTACTTGGGGGTGCCTCCCAGTTAGGCTGCTCGGGGGTCAAGGACCCACTTGAGGAGGCAGTCTGCCCATTCTCAGATCTCCAGCTGTGTGCTGGGAGAACCACTACTCTCTTCAAAGCTGTCAGACAGGGACATTTAAGTCTGCAGAGGTTACTACTGTCCTTTTGTTTGTCTGTGCCCTGCCCCCAGAAGTGGAGCCTACAGAGGCAGGCAGGCCTCCTCAGCTGTGGTGGGCTCCACCCACTTCAAGCTTCCCGGTTGCTTTGTTTGCCTAATCAAGCCTGGGCAATGGCAGGCGCCCCTCCCCCAGCCTCGCTGCCACCTTGCAGTTTGATCTCAGACTGCTGGGCTAGCAATCAGGGAGACTCTGTGGGCGCAGGACCCTCTGAGCCAGGTGCGGGATATAATCTCCTAGTGCGCCGTTTTTTAAGCCTGTTGGAAAAGCACAGTATTAGGGTGGGAGTGACCCGATTTTCCAGGTGCCGTCTGTCACCCCTTTCTTTGACTAGGAAGGGAACTCCCTGACCCCTTGCACTTCCCGAGTGAGGCAATGCCTCGCCCTGCTTCGGCTCACGCACGGTGCGCTGCACGCACTGTCCTGCACCCGCTGTCTGGCACTCCCTAGGGAGATGAACCTGGTACCTCAGATGGAAATGCAGAAATCACCTGTCTTCTGCGTCGCTCATGCTGGCAGCTGTAGATCGGCAAACTCCGTCTTTTCTATCCGCTTTCAAAGCTCTCCAAAAATATTCTCACCCTGGCCAGATGCAGTGGCTCATGACTGCTATCCCAGGACTTTGGTAGGCAAAGGCAGGAGGATAGCTTGAGCCCAGGAGTTTAAGACCAGCCTGGGCAATACAGCAGAATCCCATCTCTACAAAGATAAAAATATTAGCTGATTGTAGTGGTGCACACCTGTAGTGTCAGCTATTTGGGAGGCTGAGGTGGGAAGATCGTTCGAGCCCAGGAGGTTAAGCCTGCAGGGAGCCACAGTTGTACCACTGCTCTCCAGCCTGGGTGACAAAGTGAGACCTTGTCTCTAAAAACCACAACAACAACAAAAATCTACCTTCACCCCCCACATCCAGCGCCCAACTATGTTTGAATGCTCCTTAAATCTTTATGGTTAATCTAATGCTGCTTCTCTATCTGCCATTCTCTGCTTATACTTCAAAAGTAAAATAATGAAGCTTCTTTCTGACTCAACCCATTTTTCTATCAGACTTTGTATCTCCCTCTTCTCAATGTCTGCTAACGTGTCTGGCAGTATAACAGGCATTTTACATAAGCAATGTTATTTCTTCTGTACAACAACCCTATGGTGGTTTTTTAAAGCAGCAAACAGTACATGAAATGTTAAGGGTCTTACCCAAGTTCTTACTGATAGCAATTGACAAATTTTAGAAATTGAGCAAGTGTCTGTAAGGTTCTGAATTCAAGTCATTGCACTATGGTGTTTTGGTACTTTTAAAAAGTCTCCAAAGAAAATTACTTTATTTTTCCTTTATATTATAATAATATGTGGTCCCTTTTCAGCCCAGTTACTGTAAACTCCTGAGACCTGAGACATTGCCATATTCATTTCTATACCCCATAGAGCTTTGTACAGCCCTGGGCATATAGTGAATGGTTAATATTTGTTCAATTGAAATTATCTAAAGCATGTTCCAACTTCTAGTTCCTAAAAAGCCTGAGATTTTACAGACAGGAGGTTAATGATCCTTGTTTTGTTTCTGTTTGGACGAGAAAAAGTTACCATGCCGTTGAGCTGGTGAAGGCTGTCCCAGAGGGTAGGGCCAACCTTAGTATAGTACTGAACTCCAGTGCTGCTCCACTTCTTATGACAGCTGTTGGCATCTTTTTGCATCTACTGTTGACAGTTATCATAAATAATGTGAATCTTCATCTAGTTCAGTGTCTAATTCATATCTTGCTAATGGCAACAAATAAATGACCTGTGCAGGAATCTGGCATAACCCTTCAGCTGGTGTGCCTAGATCTGGTTGGCTTTGCTGCGAACATGTGCTTTGTTGCTGAGAACAATTTGGGAGTGTTAGGGACACTAGGCAAGGCTTGAATCATCAGCTGTACAAAAGACAGTGAAATTCAAAGCCCAAACACAGATAACGTTTCCTCAGATGTTCCATCATTTCAAGGTAAGCTGGAGCTGAAGAATTTTGAAATATGATGTCAGACACAAGCAAAAGGAAGAGGACTATGTGTACAGAGACTGAAAACTTGCATTCTATTATAAAATTATTTAACTAGTTAATTAACTCAAGGCTAAGCAATTCTGGGCAGGGTCTTCCTCCTCTGTTTCCCTAAATGTCAAGGAGGGAAAAAAAAATTGAATCTGTTGCTCTGTTTCTGCAAGTGTCGAAATGAAATATTAAATCTCCTGCTTCTAGGCTCTCTCTAGCTCTTATAGTTTGTTACTCCCATCTCTGACCAGATCATATCAAATATTTCTAAATAATGAGATAGACAGCGTGACCAAGGAGCAAAGCCCCTTTGAAGGTTTCCTACACCCATTTATTCCCTGTTAAATGTTATGTTCAAACAATATTTAGCTGTATAACATAAAATGCTTTCATTTCTGCCCCTAAAGTTGGGCAAATTTGACTGTCTCTGCTTATGCTGGGGATGAATGGCCGAGAAGTGTCTCCACAGTGTCAGTGTGGCCTCTTCAGGAAAGGGGTAGGTCCTTTCCATCACAGAGGAAGAGGTATTCTCTAACTGTTTTCCACAGGACAGAGATTAAGATGTTGGTTACATCCTCCCATAGCCTCCCCAGAGATGAATCCCCTCAGATTCTGCCTAAGCAAAATCTGCTACAGGAATACTATTACACCTCAAACAAAGACAAATATATTCAATAAGTGAACTCTCAGAATCCATAAAATAGACAAAGTCCAAGCATAGAGACATGTTACAAGAAGGTGGTGCAGTGAACTTTAGGATTTTTTGAGTAAGGACAATGGATTACATATTAAGTTTTCTAATCCTCAAAAAAGAAAATAATCAGTACTGGTGCTAGGTAAATTTCACGCCCACCAGGAGATTTTTTTTAAGGATCCCCACAATATATTCTAGAATCTTATTAGTAAAAGAAACTACAATAAATATACACATATGAGGTTGTATTAATTAAAAATGTATTCTGTTTATTGCATTTACAGAAAGATAATTAGCAGCTGTACGCCTAAAAAAAAAAAAATGGAGCATAAGCATAAGTGGTCACCATATCATCCTTTTCTTTTTTTTTTTTTTTTTCTTTTTTTGAGATGGAGTCTCACTCTTGTTGCCCAGGCTGGAGTGCAATGGCACGATCTTGGCTCAACGCAACCTCTGCCTCTGAGGCCTCCAGCGATTCTCCTGCCTCAGCCTCCTGAGTAGCTGGGATTACATGCATGCACCACCTTGCCACGCTAATTTTGTTTTTTTAGTAGAGACAGGGTTTCTCCATGTTGGTCAGGCTGGTCTTGAACTCCCAACCTCAGGTTATCCACCTGCCTCAGCCTCCCAGAGCTCTGGGATTACAGGTGTGAGCCACTGCGCCTGGCCCATGTCATCCTTTTCTACAAGTACTTGGAAAGTGACTTTCCACTCAAACAGAGGATTTAAGACTGACCACTTCCTTCCAGTCTGAGTAAGAACCCAGTGCTTATAGATGGATTACAGTTACAGAGAAAATTATCTACCATTTATCTCTAAGGAGAAAAAACATGAAATGCTTCTCAAACAGTGCATTTTTGCATTTTGAAACTTCGGTGCTGCAATTCCTTGGCTCAAAGTATTTTAGTGAGAAGAATGTTGTTTCTGGTTTGGAAGCATCACCTATTGAACAGTATCAGAAGGATAAAAAACTGGCTTTGTTGTAACTGGTTGTTCTATAGCAGCAGGCGTCAGGTTCAATTAATAGAGACCTAGCTTGAGAGCACGGGCACAATCTATATCATTATAATCTACCTGAAGCCTAAAGAAAACAGTGTCTAACTATTTCTAGAGGAGAAGGCTTTTCTTCGCTGACTTACCCTATAACATCCTGCAACATATTGAGTGGAGCTTATTAAGTACACTGCAAATACCTCATCTGCAAGCCATCTGCTTTTCAAGTGCAAATGCACTGTTCATAAGAAAACAGTGCCAAGTAGCTTTCTAACTTTTACTTCTAGGTTTCCCAAGAGCTATCCAAAACTATGACTTTTCCTCTACCTGCTAACTCTTGTATCTAAATTGTTTTTAGAGACTTCTTATGAGGAATTTTAAAACATGCTTTAGTTTTTACATCAGAAACACTCCAGAAGTTTCCCACCTCCTCCTTCCATCTCCTTAATAGGCATTAGGTTTCAAATGGATTAAACGTGGAGGTTTGATTTAATCAAATTGTTTCCTCTTGGTGTTTGGAAAATAACCAAGCAGTTTCAATGGTGAATCAATGCAATACCACCTTAGAGCCACTTACAAAATCAAAACATATTTGTGCATCTGAATTCTTCACTGGCAGAGAACAGCTTGTACCCTCTCTATCGATTAGGTCCCTGTTACTATTGATTAAAACAAAAAACCACAGAGAATCACAACTTTCAGAAGGTTAGGGAGAATGGTATGCTTGACTCAGCATTCTAAATCAGATCAAACAAAGTATCCGACCTACTGAGGAGATGCAGAATTTGGACTAGTCGCTGATGTCAAATTCAGTTTAGAGACCATTTTGTCAGAGTTCCCTATGAGCCAAACTTAATAGCAAATAGAAAAACAAATTCACCCACAATATGCTTCTGGAGGACAATGAATCCAGCAGCAATGGGGTTGTGCTGGCTGCACTTTAATGCTGTTAGCTGCTTCATGGTCAAATTGAATACTAGTGGGACGAACTGCTGACACACAACATATGCCCCAGAAGCTGACTGCTGGAATGAAAGGAGCTCTAGCTAGACGACTAGGAAAATCAGGAAACAAGTGACAGCTCAAGTTGAAACAAAGTTTCATGTGGTCAGACCACCTGTGGGACAAGCTGATGTATTTATTATTGTCCAGAGAATCGCTGGATTTTACAGCTGCCAAGAGCTTCAGCAATCACGACCTACTTCTCAACATTTTTTACTGTTTTCTTTTCCTACATTTGTCCATTAAAATATGTCCTTTGCTAGTTTCTGTCCTGGGTTCTTAATTCATAAGCACTCTTCCTTGGTAACTTTAGCACTCTTACATGGATGACTCTCAAATGTTTATATCCAGCCCTGACCTTGCTCCTGAGCCTGCAATCTCAAACATTAAACAGCCTTCTCGATATCTGCTTAGTGATGCCTCAGTAGCACATTTAATTCAATGGGGTGAATGAAAACCAGCTCACTCTCTTGCCAAGTAAGCCCTTGCTTTACTCTCTCATTACATGAGTTAGTAACAGCCCCATGCTGCAGCCTCCTGGCTCAACCATCACAGTGTCTAGCCATCTGTCTCTCTTGCTCATGCTGCCTCTGCAATACTGCCCCAAGGTCCCCTCCTGGCCATGTCCTCACGATGCCCCGGTGGAGGCCTGAGACCCTCACCTGGGTCACTGCCATAATCACGCTCTGACATCTTCTACTACCCAGCCCTCTGCACCCTCTGGACAGTTATTTTTCTAGAACACAGCTCAGTTCTGATTGTGTCACTTCTCTGGCTGCAAAACTCAATGTTTCCTCCTTGCTTCGTAGATTCAAATCCAGATTTCTCAAAATGACAATTACCGGTGCCCATCATCTGACCTCAGTCTCCTTTCTTGCCTTATATCCCACTCCATCCCTGACATCCCCAGTTTCTCTCCTCCCCTTGGGCCTTACATGGGGCTTCTTAGAGAGGCCAAAATACAGGAATCTGGACCAACAATGCACGGGAAAGACAAGACAAATCCATTCTAAATATACAAATAAATTTTCCATCATTAACACAAAAATAATTGAAAAAAATTAAAATTTAACCAAGATTACATTTTCATTTATCAAATTGGCAAAAATCCAAAAATATGGTAACATGCTCTGTTAGCGAAGCTGTAAGGAAAGAGGTATCCTCAAGCACTGCTGGTGGCAGCATACATCGGTAAATTTTTCGAAGGCAATTTCGACACGTCTGTCAACATTTTAAGTGCACTTGCATATGGTGATTGCTTGGGAAGAATGGCCACAGTACTTCAGCCTTTCCTGCCCTCATCCCTCTGTGAGGTGCATTAGTCCATTTTCTCACTGCTATAAAGAACTACCCCAGACTGGGTAATTTATTAAAAAAAGAGGTTTAACTGACTCACACTTCCACATGGCTGGAGAGGCCTCAGGAAAGTCACAATCACAGTGAAAGGTGATGGGGAAGCAAGGCACGTCTTACGTGGTGGCAGGGAAGGGAGAAAGAGAGAGGAGAGAGAGACCGAGGGGGGAAACTGCCACACACTTTTAAACCATCAGATCTCGTGAAAACTCACCAACTATCACTATCATGGGAGGGGAATGTCCCCCATGATCCAATTACCCCCCACCAGGTCCTTCCTTCAACACTTGGGGATTTCAATTCAAAATGAGATTTGGGTGGGGACACAGAGCCAAACCATATCATAATGAAACACTGTCATTCATCTGAGGTAATATCTGAGGTTCATTGCCTCATGCCAAGGATATAAAGGATGTGGACACACAAGGAGTGAGGTTAAGTAGAGGTTTAATAGACGAAAGAAAGAGAAAAGCTCTCTCTCCTGCAGAAAGAGAGGGGCTCCAAGTGGGTCTTCTGGTCCATGGTGAAGTGCAGGAGTTTTTATAGATGAGCTTGAGGAGGCAGTGTCTGATTTACATAGGACACAAGAGATTGGTTGGGCCAGGTGTGCCATTTGCATAGCATGTAAAGAAACTTGTGGCCGCACCCTAATCTTTTATTATGCAGATGGGTTCTCTACTGCCATGTTGCCCACTCTTTCACTGTTCTCATGGTGACAAAGAAAAGAGAAGATGGAGCCTCCATGTTGAACATACCTGGCTTCCAGGTAACCCGTGGCACAGATGTCAGCATTCACACGTTCAAGTTTCCAGCTTGCTTATCTATGTTTGCAACCCAATTTTTCAGGCTGCTTTTTGTTAGAAAAGAAATGATTTGGGGGCTGCCTTTTGTTAAATGGGAAATTCTGCCAAGGACTCTCTTACCCTCACTATCTGCCTAAATAATTTCCTTTTAGCTCTTATATCAATAAGTGGACACTGCATGAATACAGTGTGAGTCCTATTGTGTGACTGCCTTTAAGATGGAATCTATTTCCCCTCCTCTTGAATCTGGGCTGGTCTTGTGATTATCTCTGGCTAGTGGAAGGCAGTGGTGTTCCAGTTTTGCGGCTGGATCTCAAGATGTCCTGGGTGCTTCTGCTCTCTCTGGACCCTGCCTTCTCTGTATGAACAAGCCCCAACTAGCCTGCTAGAGGATGATCAGCACATAGTCCAGTTATCTCTGTCTTTCCAGCCAACAGACACCCAACCAACCAACCACCAGATGTATGGGAGAGAACATCTTAGACTTGCCAATCCCAAGCCAATTTATCAGTTGCCTGTAGGGACCGACCAAGCCCAGCCAATCTCAATGAAGCTTTGCCCATATCTGCAGAACCACCCTGTAAATAAATCTACAGACCTATAGATTTATTAATAATAAACACTAAGTCCTTATTGTTTTAAGTCGTCAAGTTTTGAGGTAGCTGTTTATGCATAAATAGCAAACTGATATACCCATTGAGGGAGAAATTCTGCTTCTAGAAATTTGTTGTACAGAAAAACTTGCACAACTACAATATTACCATAGCTAAGGTTATTCACTGAAGCTTGTTTGTAACTTCAAAACAAAAGTAGTTTGGAAGCATCAATAGAGATCCGTTCATTAAATTATGGTATACCCATACAACGGACTGCAATAAAACTGTGGAATCAGTTTCCACAAGGAAGGCTCTGGGTGAACTCACATAGAATATCTTCCAAGATTTACTAGCATTTGCAAGCTAGTTTACTTGGCAAAGTTTATGACAAGCTACCATCTATATGAAAAATAATAAAGCAATAAATGTGTGTTTCATTGTATATACAAATAAATTATTTGAAAAGATACCCAAGAAACTGAAATTTTTACTTGCCTCTTGGAAAATAAATGGAGTGACTAGAAACAAGAGTAATAAAGATAATTTTTACTATATTTTTTCTATCTTTTGAACACTAACCCAGGTTAACATATTACCTGTTTAAAAAATAAATATTTATTTTAAGTAGGACAAAACACTTTGTACTTGGCTATATCTGGTCACTTAACAACATAGTTATCTCTGCCTGGATAGGACTTACGATTTTGTTAAGAAATTGTTTAATTAATAATAATTTAAAAATGTGGCCCCTACTAAAACCACAGAAATTGGCAGGAACTTTTAACATCCTCTGGTGCCACGCTTGTCTCAATGCACATCCAAGCTATCTGGTCACAGGGCCTCTGCTGGACCCTCCACTGTAAGAGGGAGCTCTTTATAACACCCTGGTAAAAGAACTGAAAGAGAAATGCATGTTTGTAAAAAACAAGTAATTTTATTAAAGTTATTTCCTTACAGAAAGAGCATTGTGGATGAAGACAATGTCACTGCACTACTTTTTAATTGTGAAGAAATCACCACTGATCAGAGGAGAGTTAAATAAATATTGTTACATCTAAAGAATGAAACAGTGTGTAATTTTTAACACCATGGAAAACAGTATACCATTATATAAAATACAAAAGATAAAGGTACAAAATTGTCTATCCAGTAAGCTATCAACTACATGAAAAGAAAAAAATCCTTGAAGAAAGAAAAAAGGAAGACCTAAAAAGAAATATAGCAATATAGTGGCAGGAATTGTTCATATTTGTTTCTTCTCTTCCTACTTTGTATTAATTCCTAAATTTTCTATAACATTTATACAATATTTTTAAATTAATATATAGTAAAAATGATAAACATAAAGTAAGTTTGCCAACAATCTATTATGTCTGATTACAGGATATAAAGAAGTAAATAAGAAATAACATTAATCATAATAATCAAGTATGCTAAATCCTTTAACAAACAAGCTCAACACCTAAAAAAGATTTTTTTGTGCCCACTTACAGTTCAGCACAGGTAGCGAGGAGGCTCTCTGCTCCATGAAGTGACTGAGGAACCAGGCTCCTTGCAGCTCCCAGCTCTACCTTACTCTTAGAGTAAGGTCCTGAGAGTGTTCTTCATCCCCCTCCTGGAATAGGAAACAGCAGGAGGAGTACATTTGGAAGTGTGTTACAGCTCAGGCCTGGATGCAGCCTGAATCAACCGGGCCACACTCCATGGCTAGAGTTCAGCACGTGGTCTCATCTAACTGTAAGGGACACTGACCAAGTCCTGTAGCTGTGTGCCTAGAGAAAGAAACAGCAGCCATGGCAGACTTTGAGCCAGTCTCTGACATGATCATTGAAAGGTTCATAGAAAAAGAGAACTTTAAGCTATTTCTTAAAAGTTGGGAAAGACATAAATTGGGGAAAAATAGGAAAGAAGATTGGCTGGATAGCTTGGCATGAGAAGGGCAGAGAAAGATAATTAGGTAAATCACTTTCAAGAGAACAAAGAAAAGAAAAAAGAGCCATTAGAAGACCAACCTTGATATTTCGTACTTTTCATCAAAGTTAGAAAAATTTGCTTTAGCATCTAGCAGGACTGTGTTCCACTTTTAACTCTACCTCTCTGTCTCTGCATGGTCTTGGACAAATTATGTATCAAAACCTAGAATTCTTGAGTGTAAAATGAAGGTAATAATGCCCAGCTTACAATATTATGGTAGAATGTTAATAAAATACATAGGAATAATTCAACAAATGAGAGACCTTGCCATTAGGCATTTTCATAGTGCAGAGTCAATTCTGATTCACAATTTTTCTAAATGTTTAGGACATATTCCTCATTCATCACTCTCTACTTTAAACAATAAAGAAACCAGGACAAAAAATAATAATTACTTTTACACTTCATAAACTAAAAGGTGAATTACTAAGCACATAAAATGAACATGCTTGACTTACTAATTTAAATAATGGCTGAATCAGATAATAATTACGAATGTATTTATTCTACTTACATTACATGGTTTCATGCAATTGAATTACCACTTCTTTAATTAAGGGATTTCAGTATTTCTTAGTTTTGATCATTTATTAGCACAACATAAGACTAACGGGACAACAAAAGAAATTCTCACCGGCTCTTAGGAGCTTTCACAATGTCAAACAACACGGGAAACATCAGAAAAAAAGAGGGAACTCATTCTAAAATATTTGCTTACTATAACTTTTGCCATTTAAACTCACATCATCAGTTCTATTTCATGACTTCTTGTCATCAAATGTTTTTTACTTTTTCTGATGCTTCATTTTGACCATTCTCAGAGACTCTGGGAATCAAAACTTTCTGGGCCCCAGTCAGATGGTAATAAATACTTCTGCCTTTTCCCTGACTGATGCCTTCTGCTAGGGACTGTATTAGTCTGTTTTGATGCTGCTGATAAAGACACACCCCAGACTGGGTAATTTATAAAGAAAAAGAGCTTTAATGGATTCTCAGTTCCAAGTAGCTGGGGAGGCCTTATCATCCTGGCAGAAAGTAAAGGTACATCTTTCTTGTTTGCAGGCAAGAGAGAACTTGTGCAGGGAAACTCCCCTTTATAAAACCATCAGATCTCAGGAGACTTACTCACTATCACAAGAACACCATGGGGAAGACCTGCCCCCATGATTCAATTACCTCCCACCTGGTCCCTCCCACAACACGTGGGAATTGTGGGAGCTACAGTTCAAGACGAGATTTGGGTGGGGACACAGTCAAACCATATCAGGGACTTCACCACCTGCTCCATGCCTAGTGCTGTGGTGGACCCTGGGGAGCAAAGATGAAAACCCTGATTCTCTGCCTCCGTGATCGCACCCAGGGAAGGGGACTCAGGCGGCTATAAATCAATGTTGGTGATACCTTGTATGCAGTCAAGGGTCTGACCCAACCTCAGGTAATTAGGGAACTTTTCTCTTTGATTTCTTGTAAGTACAGTATTTATGCCTTGCTGTTTGTGCAACAGTAACAAAAACCTGAAACTGGGTAATTTGTTTGTTTTCGAGATGGAGTCTCCCTCTGTCGCCAGACTGGAGTGCAGTAGCACGATCTCAGCTCACTGCAACCTCCTTCTCCCGGGTTCAAGTGATTCTCCTGCCTCAGCCTCCCGAGTAGCTGGGACTACAGGTGCGCGCCACCATGCCTGGCTAATTTTTGTATTTTTAGTAGAGACAGGGTTTCACCATGTTGGCCAGGATGGTCTCAATCTCTTCACCTCATGATCTGCCCACCTCAGCCTCCCAAAGTGCTGGGGTTACAGGCATGAGCCACCACACCCGGCCGAAACTGGGTAATTTGTAAAGAAGAGAAACACATCTCTCACAGTTCCGAAAGCTGGGAGTCCAAGATCAAGGCCTTGATAGGTTCATTGTCTGGTGAGGGCCCATCTCTCCCTCCAAGATGCTGTCTTGTTGCTGCGTCCTCCAGAGGGAAGGGATGCTGCCTCCTCACCTGGAGGAAGGGACTGAAGGGGAAAAGGCCCAATGCCACGTGAGCCTCTTTTATGAAAACCTTAACTCCATTCAGGAAGGAGAGGCCCTCATGAACTCATCGTCTTTTAAAGGCCCCACCTCTTAAAACTATCGCATTGGCCATTATGTTTCAACGTGTGAATTTTGGAGGGGACACATTCAAATCATAGCAATTTATAAACATAAACTACCTCTTGTTTATGCCATAGAAGATAGAGGAATGTAAAATAAGGGGAAACACAAGCAAAGCAGAACTGCTCTGTGCATTGCCTTGTTAGAGAGCTCTGTTTGCTGGAAAGGCCCTTGGAACTGCCAGTGTTAGTAGCCCAAAGAGGCTACTTGAAGGGGCTGGAAAGGGTTGCAGCCCCCAGGGTATAAGTTAATATATAGCCACATTGCTCTCTAGGCACAAGAAAACAATCATGGTATCAGAGTTGTACATAAAAACAATCCTTCCCTTACAGAATTCTGTTGAGTGCATGCCTCCTAAGGATGGAAGCCTTCCCGCTATGACAGCCACGCGAGGCACGGCCCCCAGCAGCCATGCGCAAGCTTGCCTATGGGAAAATCAAATGAAATGGAACCTGTGGCTGAGGCTTTCTTGGAAACGAGATGGGTGTCTGGGAACAAGAAGCTTTAGATTTACAGTGATCTTTTTTTTTTAATGTTTTTCATTGTGATGTTCAAACTTTTGCACCTGTGGTGATGTGAAAAAACCATGTTAAGCCTTCACTACATGCCAAGACTTGAACATTGATTTTTAAGACTGAGCAAGTGAAATCAGGTTCTTAAATGTCTCAATTCTATTTCCACAGCTAGAAACACCCAGAAAACAGGAGGCCATTTTGCAAATAACTCAGAAAGGTGTTTGAAATTGAGGTGATAGAGACCACCACGAAGAAAGGGGAAAGAGGGTTTACCTGGAAGGAAAGACTTAAGGAAGATGTGGAAATTATACTCTGAGATAAGGGCAAAACAAGGTAAACAAGGTAAACAAGGGTAAACAAGGAATCCCATTCAGGTGCTGAAATCACCACAGACATTTACTGGGCTGTGACTGTGTCAGGCATTGTTCTAGCCGGGTTACAGGTATTCATTCCATTTAGTCTCACCTGGCTAATGAAATGGATACTATTGACCAGGCGCAGTGGCTCACACCTGTAATCCCAACACTCTGGGAGGCAGAGGCAGGTGGATCACCTGAGACTAGGAATTCGAGACCACCCTGATCAACGTGGTGAAACCCTGTCTCTACTAAAAATAAAAAAATTAGCCAGACATGGTGGCAGGTGTCTGTAATCCCAGCTACTCAGAAGGCTAAGGCACAAGAATTGCTTGAACCCGGGAGGTGGAGGTTGTAGTGAACTGAGACTGCGCCACCGCACTCCAGCTTGGGAGACAGAATGAGACCCTGAAAAAAGAAGGGAAGGGGAGGGGATGGGAATGGAGAGGAGGGGAGAGGAAGGGAAGGGAGGGGAGGGGAGGGGAGGAGAGGGGAGGGGGGGGGGAAGGAAGGGAAGAAAGGGAAGGAAGGAAGGAATGAATGAAGGAAGGAAGGGAGGGAAAGAAAGAAGGAAGGAAAAGAGAAAGAAAGAAAGAAAGAAAGAAAGAAAGAAAGAAAGAAAGAAAGAAAGAAAGAGAAAGAAAGAAAGAGAAAGAAAGAAAGAGAGAAAGAAAGAAAGAAAAAGAAAGAAAGAAGAGAGAAAGAAAGAAAAAGAAAGAAAGAAAAAGAAAGAAAGAAAGGAGGGAGGGAAGAAGGAAGGAAGGAAGGAAGGAAGGAAGGAAGGAAGGAAGGAAGAAAGAGATACTATTATTACCTTCTTCAGGGATCCGAAGCAGAGAGTGGGGTCACCAGTGGACAGTGACACACAGCTTTGCAGCCAGTAGGAGGTGTAAGAATTGAAGGCAAAGTAACTGGTATCCAAAGTCTGCAATTATAGCCTTTATACTACCCACCCTCCTATCCAAAGAAGAGCAAGATACACACACAATGTATTAGGTAATACCTGTAGCCACATGTAATTTGGTTTATTCAGAATTGACTCAGAAAAGGTATAAATCCTAGTGAGATTTTAGATATGACCTCAAGTCATATCTAAAACACACACACAAATGAGATACATTGAGGTCCTGTTTTGCACTTGGTCTAATCAACTTTATGTATCTGTTTGGACTGAGAGCTCCTATATCACTAACTCTTGATAATTACAAATATTCTCTAGGAGTTTGCATACTATTTACTAAGCTCTCCTCTCAGCACTGTGCATACTTTCACCTATGGCATCCTCAGAATAGCCTTAGGAGGTCGTGGATGGGTTAAAATAATGCTGTGGGGAGGCCAAGGAGGGTGGATCATCTGAGGTCAGGAGTTCAAGACCAGCCTGGCCAACATGGTGAAACCCCGTCTCTACTAAAAATACAAAAATTAGCCAGGCAAGGTGGCAGGCACCCGTAATCCCAGCTACTTCAGGAAGCTGAGGCAGGAGAATCACTTGAACTGGGGAGACGGAAGTTGCAGTGAGCCGAAATCACACCAATGCACTCCAGCTTGGACAACAGAGCAAGACTCCATCTCAAAAATAAATAAATAAATAGATAAATAAGTAAATAATGCTGTAGCAAGCCAACCTCAAAAGATATGATGGCTCAAGCACAGCAGAAGTTCATTTCTTGCTCACATGTATATATATATATATATATATATATATATATATATATATATATACATATTTTTTTTTTTTTTGAGATGGAGTCTTGCTCTGTCACCCAGGTTGGAATGCAGTGGCGTGATCTCTGCTCACTGCAACCTCTGCTTCCCCGGTTCAAGTGATTCTCCTGCCTCAGCCTCCAGAGTAGCTGGGACTATAAGTGCTCACCATCAC